>NC_000013.11:87162069-87465100 GCF_000001405.40 Homo sapiens
CAATCCTATGCAAAAAGAACAAAGATGGAGGCATCATGCTACCTGACTTCAAACTATATTACAAGGCTACAGTGACCAGAACAGCATGGCACTGGTGACAAAACAGTAGACCAATGGAACAGAACAGAGCCCTCAGCAATAACACCACACAGCTACAACCATTTGATCTTTGACAAACCTGAGAAAATCAAGCAATGGTGACAGGATTCCCTATTGAATAAATGATGCTGGGAAAACTGGATAGCCATATGCAGAAAACTGAAACTGGACCCCTTCTTTACACCTTATACAAAAATTAACTCAAGATAGAATAAAGACTTAAACTAAAAACCTAAAACCGTAAAAACACTACCTAGACAATACCATTGAGGACATAGGCATGGGCAAAGACTTCATGACTAAAACACCAAAAGCAATGGCAACAAAAGCCAAAATTGACAAATGGGATCTAATTAAACTAAAGAGCTTCTGCATAGCAAAAGAAACTATCATTAGAGTGAACAGGCAACCTACAGAATGGGAGAAAATTTTTGCAATCTATCCATCTGGCAAAGATCTAATATCCAGAATCGACAAGGAACTTAAACAAATTTAAAAGAAAAAAAAGCAAACAACCCCATCAAAAGGTGGGCAAAGGATATGAACAGACACTTCTCAAAAGAAGACATTTATCTGGCCAACAAACATATGAAAAATATCTCATCATCACTGGTCATTAGAGAAATGCAAATCAAAACCACAATGAGATACTATCTCACTCCAGTTAGAATAGTGATCATTAAAAAGTCAGGAACTGGCCAGGTGCAGTGGCTCACGCCTGTAATCCCAGCACTTTAGGAGGCCGAGGCCGGTGGATCACGAGGTCAGGAGATCGAGACCATCCTGGCTAACACGGTGAAACCCCATCTCTACTAAAAATACAAAAAATTAGCCGGGCATGGCAGCACGTGCCTGTAGTCCCAGCTACTTGGGAGGCTGAGGCAGGAGAATGTGTGAACCCGGGAGGCGGAGCTTGCAGTGAGCCGAGATCATCATGCCACTGCACTGCAGCCTGGGGGACAGAGTGAGACTCCATCTCAAAAAAAAAAAAAAAAAAAAAAAAGTCAGGAACCAACAGGTACTGGAGAGGATATGGAGAAATAGGAGCACTTTTACTCTGTTGGTGGAAGTGTAAATTAGTTCAATCATTGTGTAAGATAGTGTGGCGATTCTTCAGGGATCTAGAACCAGAAATACCATTTGGTCAAGCAATCCCATTACTGGGTATATACCCAAATGATTATAAATTATTCTTTTATAAAGACACATGCACACATATATTTATTACAGCACTATTTACAATAGCAAAACTTGGAACCAACCCAATGCCTATCAATGATAGACTAGATAAAGAAAATGTGCCACATATACACCAGGGAATACTATGCAGCCATAAAAAAAGAATGAGCTCATGTCTTTTGCTGCGACATGGATGAAGCTGAAAACCATCATTCTCAGGAAACTAACACAGGAATAGAAAACCAAACACTGCATATTCTCACTCATATGTGGGAGTCAAACAATGAGAACACATGAACCCAGGGAGGGGAACATCATACACTGGAGCCTGTCAGAGTTTGGGGGGCTATGTGAGGGATTGCATTAGGATGAATTCCTAACGCATGCAGGGCTTAAAACCCAGATGACAGGTTGATAGGTGCAGCAAACCATCATGGCACATGTATACCTATGTAACAAACCTGCACATGTATCCCAGAACATATAGTAAAATATAAAAATAAATAAATAGTTTATTAATAATAATTATTAATGAGGCTTTTATGTCAGATACATTTTCTTATTGGTAAATATTTTTATCAGAGCTGAGCTTCAGGAAAATTTATTTGGCAGGAAGGAATTGGATGGGTAAAAATAGGGAGAGACAGTGGAAAGGGGAAATCAAAAAATAGAATGTGTTAAAAATTCGATTTTAATGAATTAAAAATGAATTGTCACTGTGAAGTTAGTAGTGGCAAGATTCTTTTATGGACATTTTAAAAATGTAGACTCTTAATTCAGTTAGGTAAACTCACAGGTAGCTAATTCCTATTGAAAGGCTAATGATGAATGGACAAGAATACCCTAATAGAATAGTCTTTATTCAAGAGTCATTATTTCATGATAAGTAAATATTGCTACATTCTGATAATACAAAGCAAGAGAGAAACAGTTTACTGAATCTGACTCCTTAAGCTTCTCCTTTCAAAATAAATAAATAAATTTGATCTAGGCCCAGTGGCACACACCTGTAGTCCCAGCTACACAGCAGGCTGAAGAGGGGGATTGCTTGAGCCCAGAAGTTTGAGAACAACGTGGGCAACATAGTGAGACTCCACCTATAAATAAATACATAAAATAAATCTAGAAAGACTTTTTAAATAATTGGCATTGGCCATAAACCCAGATAATGTCACTAATGTATTAAATATGGCAAGTTGATAAAACTTTTTTTAAGTTTGAAATTTAGCATAACTCATGTATTAAAGGTTGAAAATTTACTGGGTAGAAATAATATGGCCATTATCCTTAGCAAACTAGCACGGGATCAGAACACGAAATACCTCATGTTCTCACTGATAAGTGGGAGCTAAATGATGAGAACACACAGACACATAGAGAAGAACAACACACACTAGAGCCTTTCATAGGGTGGAGGTTGGGAGGAGGGAGAGGATCAGGAAAAATAACTAATGGTACTAGTCTTAATACCTGGGTGATGAAATAATCTGTACAACAAACCCCCATGACACAAGTGTAGCTATGTAACAAACCTGCAGGTATACCCCTGAACTTAAAATAAAAGTTAAAAAAAGGAGTTCATAACAAGTACAATTTATAAGTTCAACATTATTATATGGGTGCTAACAATAAAAAATAAAAGCCTAATAGCAACACAGACAACATTTTGTGTGTTTTGCATTGTGAAATGTAGACAAAAAACAGGTAAGCAGAATACACATTTTGTTAGTTTCAAAGGGAAAGAATAAAATGGATTAATCATGATAACATCATGTAATGACATATATTTTTCTTGAAATTCTAATATATCTGCTCTTATTTTTGGTTATCAGACTTCAAAGGGAGTGCTGTATGTACACAGTTCTGAGAGTTATAGTTAAAGGAGAACGTGTTAAGCTGGAATTCTTCCAAACATCAGTAGTGAAGATAGAGAAAGAAAAAGAAGCCTTATCATAGAGAAGTTCTAAAGGAATAGGATCTTCCTGGCAGGAAAAGATTTCAGACAAACATAACTTTTCAAATATTTGAAAGTCTGTCACAACAATTAGGATTTAGATATTTTATCTGGGACTATGACTAGTAGAGTATTGGAAAACAGATTTGTATGTTTAATGCCATAAAATTTTATAATAATTAGAACTGACATTGATATGGTTTGGATTTGTGTCCCCACCCAAATCTCATGTTGAATCAGAGAAGAAGCCTTGTGAAGGATGATTGGATTATGGGGGCGGATTTCCCACCTGCTCTTCTCATGATAGTGAGTGACATCTTATGCGTTCTGATGATTTAAAAGTATGTGGCACGTCCCCCTTCTCTGTCTCTCTCTCTTTCTTTCCTGTTGCCATGTGAAGATGTTCTTGCTTCCTCTTCATCTTCTGCCATGATTGTAAGTTTTCTGACATCTGCATTCATGCTTCCTAATAAGCCAGTGGAACTGAGTCAATTAAACGTATTTTCTTCACAAGTTACCCAGTCTCAGTTCTGTATGGCAGTGTGAGAATGGACTAATATAGCCATCTTAAAATAGTTTCAGAAGGTTATCTACATGATGAGGGTTGTAAGATCCATATCACTGAGTTATTAAAACAGTGAGTGAATAGTAATTGTGTGGAATGCCAAGGCATGTGAGAATAAGCTAGTGTAGATGATCTTTCACTTTCCTTTCCTTCCTGAAAATGTACGGTTCTGTGAAAATAGAATGTTTTTGACATCAAAAGAATGAATGAAAGTTAACATTATTTGGTCTTATTTGACAATTGCATGTTTTTTACTCAATGTTTGAAGCTTATCAGTCATTTGGGCATAGATATATAATGGTCTTTAATTTTTAAAAAAATTCTTGCTATGTTAACTAAGAATGCACAGATATTTGCTGCTGACTTTAGCATGTTTAGACAATTTTAAATATTTTAAGGCATAAGTATATTAAATGGTTTATGGCTACTCAGGCAAATTAATTTTTAGCCTTACCTAGAGACAAAAAGAGAAAACACGCTGGACTCAGGTTAAAGCCAGAGTCAGGGTAAGACAGAAATATATTTCTGTACTTGGCCCAGCAGGCATGGAGATCCTCAGTTGACTATATCCAGACAAGGTGAAGTATCTCATCTGTGAAAACAGAGCTTAACTGCAGGCGATCAATGTCAGCCAAGTGAAGGAAACTGCAGGACTCTTAACTTCTCTCTCTGAAACAGGAGAACCCTGAAGAAGCGCACCTGCTCATATAATCTTGTCTTCTGAAACCCTGGCAAGGGTCCACACAGGAACAGAAAGCTCTTTTTAAGTATTTCTGATATATGTGAGTTGACCAATTATGAATAGTATTTCGTTGTATGTGTGTGTGTCTCCTTGTGTTTAAAACTAGCCAACATGTTTTCACATGTGTGTATCCTGCCAATATGTTTTATTCTTTAATTCATATTATGTGTTAATATCAGTCACATACAAAAGTATGATATGGCTCTGTTATATTGTGATGATGCCACTATAAATGTCCCTGCCATATCTCATGTTGAAATTTAATTTTATCCTAACAGTATTTAGAGATGGGCTCTTTAAGAAGTCATTATTTGGCCAGGTGCATTGGCTCAGGTCTGTAATCCCAGCATTTTGGGAGGCCCAGGCAGGCGGGTCACTTGAGGTCAGGAATTCAAGATAAGCCTAGACAATATGGTGAAACCTCATCTCTACAAAAAATACAAAAAAAAAAAAATTAGCCAGGCATGGTGGCAGGTACCTGTAATCTCAGGTACTTGGGAGGCTGAGGCAGGAGAATTGCTTGAACTTGGGAGGCGGAGGTTACAGTGAGCTGAAACTTTGCCACTGCACTCCAGCCTGGGCAACAAGAATGAAACTCTGTCTAAAAAAATAAAATAAAAAAATAAAAAAGAGTGATTATTTCATGAGGGCTTGGCCTTTATGAATGGATTAACACTGTTATTGTGGGAGTGTGTTAGTTATTGCTGGAGTGCAAAAAGGATGAGTTAAGCCCATTTCCTTCCCTGTCTCAGGGGCTCTCTTTCTCTTTCCTCCCTTCCTTCATGGGAGGCCCTGAGCAGGTGCTGGCACCATGCTCTTGGATTCCCCAGCCTCCAGAACTGTGAGCTAAATCAACCTCTGTTCTTTATGAATTAACCAGTCTGTGGTATTCTGTTATGGCAGTAGACAATGGACTAACAGAAAATTGGCACTGAGAAGTGGGGCTATTGCTATTGCAATTACCTGAAAATGTGAATGAGGCTTTGGAACTGGGTAATGGGTAGAGGCTGTAAGAATTTGTAGCAGCCAATTAGAAAAAAAAGGCTGCATTGCTTTGAACAGAGCATAGAGTAATTTTGATGAGCTCTTAGATAGAAATGAAAAACAAGGTAATGGAGAGTGGACTTAAGACCATCCCTGTTATAAAGAAGCAAAAGCCTTAGTTGAATTGTGTCAATGATAGTCGGCTTAATTGAAGGCAGAAGTTAAGAGCAATGAACTAGGATATCCAGCAGAAAAAATATCCAGACAACAAATAATTTAGTTTTCTGTGTGGCTACTTTTACCATCTACAGTTAAGATGTGGGAGCAAATAAATGTCTTAAGAGATAGTTTAACATTAAAAGGACATCAGAGTGGAAAAAAATTGGAGAATTCATAGCATGTAGCTGCTACCTGCAGGCAGGTAGTCTGGATGTTTGTTCCAGTTTGGCTGAGTCCTGGATTTTTATGGGCTCAGAATGGAGGAAGTACATACTGATTGGTCCATGGGCAGCCACAGGCCAGCCTGGAGAAGGCACTGTAAGTTTTCACTCCTGTCTGCAGACTCCACCTGGAACTGACAGCCTGAATTCTTCAGGCCATCCCTGGCTTGAAGGTGGGGCTTCACAAGGGATCTGCCCCTTTCTGCCCAGAAGACTGTCTGCCTCCGTGGTATCGAGGCCTATGCGGAGCCACCCTCAGGAACCCACCTCACCCTCCCTCCCGTGCTCTTCAACGCCCAAAGTTCTGAGGGGGCCAAGGTGGCCGGGGGCTTTCATGTCAGCGTTGCCCCGAGTGTGTGCACAGTTGGCCAGGTTGTGACAGCCCCCAGGCTCAGCCTCAACTTTGCTCCAAAATTGAAGTGGACACCAGGAACAGGGAGAGGCTGGCCAATGGGAGCAGGCACTTCCTAGCCTTCAGGCGTGGGGAGGCTTCCCTGGTCCCTGAGGTGCAGGGGTGCCCGGGTCCTCAACCAAGGCTGGACAGTTGCAGCTGTGCCTGGGAGGGTGGGGATCCCTCCCTGCCAACTTGGAAGGGGGTGGAGCTCCCACCTGTTTCTGGATCCCACTGGCTCTGTGGAGTCTGCAGCCCTGGTCATGCCTCCCATGCTGCAGCCAGCATCTTCACAGCGGCTGTTCCACACCAGCCACCGCTGCCATCAGTGGTAGTACAACTCTGAAGCTATGTTGTTACAACGCAAGAAAAGTAACTGTTATCGCATATACTATATCCCTGATGGTAAAAATGTTGAGTAGAAATCACAGATAAATATAATAAAAATATAAGAATGCTATCAAGTTGGAAATCAAGCATAATTACTCCCAATTAAATATTGAGTAAAAAATAAAATTACAAATAAGCCTTTGAAATATTTAATATAAATTAAAAGTTTGACATAGAAAAACTCGTAGGTACAAGAATAGCAGTTACAGAATAAATAGAATTCAAATGAAAGGCAGGAAAGAGTACAGATGTTTCTCAACTTACAATGGGTTTATATGCCAACAAGCTCTTTGTAAATCCCATTGTACAGTAGAAAAATCACAAGTTGAATCATTGTAAGACAAGAGGCTCCTCCTCCACTTATGATGGGGTGGGGTTACATCCTGATAAACCCATTGTACAATTAAAAATCTTTATGTCAAACAATAAGGTGGGATTGTGTGTATGTGAGCAAAAAGAACAAAAAACACAACAAACTGTAAAAAGAGAGCAGCAATGGTCAAAATTACAATGATAAATAGTACAAAACCAAAAAAGAAATACATTTGAAGACATATATACCAGCTTCCCCTTCCCTACATACTCATCTTGGTATTTCGTATAAATATATTAGATCAAGTAGTTTTACTAATAAGTTTTTCTCTATCTTCAAATGATAACCAATTCCTCCATTATTCAAATATATTATAAAAATATGAAATTTTCACATGTTAAAATTATGACGTAATGCTAGTACAACTATGAAGTTAGTAGGAGACAACAGAATAAAAACCATAAAACATTTCCAATTTGGCTAATAAAAATAGTTGCATTAAAATGCAAGCAATTGAATTTCTACAAAATATGAGAAAATAATAACAGCATATGCCTAAGTAGAATTTAATTAAATAATATAAAGATATTTTAGCATTTTTTAATATAAGTAAACTCTTACAACCTAAAGCTCTAAGTCCTTAGGATTATAAAATTAGACACAAGAAGCATTAATCAATTTGATACTAATTTTTGGTATAATTCAACAATATTAAAATAAAAAGGATCATAGACACATGGATAGTACAAGGGTTGCTAGTCACGCAAAGTAACATAAGCATAATATCACAGTTACCCACAATTTTATTTTTCTGGCAAGAGCAGCGAAAGTCTACTTATTCAGAATGAATTTCATATACAATACAATATTATTATGAATAGTCCTCCTATTTTACATTGGATTTCTAGACTTGTTCATCCTTCATCTGCACATCTGCTTTGACCTGCATTTTCTCATTTCCTTCCCACAACCAAACTTCGCCCTTAGTAACCATTATTTCATTCTCTATCTCTGGATATTTGACATTTCTTTTTTAGATTTTACATATAAGTGAGATCAGGAAATATTTTTTCTTTGTATGTATAGCTTATTTTACTTACCACAGTGTACTCCAGGCTCATCCATGTTGTGGGAAATGGCAAAAAGCTAGTTGTTTTTAGGGCTGAAAAATTGTCCATGTTATATGTTGGACCAAAGTCTCTTTATTCATTTGTCATTGACAGACTTTGTTATCTTTTGTCTGTGGTAATACTCATACTATTGGGTGTGAGGTGGTATTTCAAAGTGATTTGTATTTGCGCTTTTTGATGATTAATGATGCTGAGCATCTTTTCGTATACCTGTTGGCTGTTTCTATATCTTCTTTGGAGAATGTGTATTCAGGACTTTTGTCCATTTTTAAAATTGGGTTATTGGTTTCTGCACTATTGACTTGTATGAGTTCATTGTAAATTTGGATTATTACATATATGGTTTAGAAATTTTTTCCCAATTCATAAGCTGTGCTTTCATTTTAGTTATTATTTGTGTGTGTGTGCAGAAGCATTATAGTTTGGGGTAGTTTCATTTATTTACTTTTGTTTTTGTTGCCCAAGCTTTTGATGTGATATCCGAAAGAAGAATTATTGTCACTACTTTGGCAGGAGCTCTTTCCCTATACACTTTTCCAGAAGTTTTATAGTTTTTAGTCTTATAATTTTTAAATTTTTTTTGTGTGTGTGCTTTTTATAATATTCAGTGATCTCCCATCTTTTTTTTTTTTTTTTTTTTTTTTGAGATGGAGTCTTGCTCTGCTGCCAAGGCTGGAGTGCAGTGGCACGATCTCAGCTCACTGCAACCTCTGCCTCCTGGGTTCAAGCAATTCTCCTGCCTCAGCCTCCTGAATAGCTGGGATTACTGCTGTGCACCACCACTCTTGGCTAATTTTTGTATTTTTAGTAGAGACTATGTTTCACCATGTTGGTCAGGCTGGTCTCAAACTCCTGATCTCATGATCTACCTGCCTTGGCCTCCCAAAGTGCTGGGATTACAGGCATGAACCACCGTGCCCAGCCCCCCTTCTTTCCTGGGCCTTCCTTCTTCATATTCATTTTCTGGGCCACTCATTCATTTTTCATTTTTTTAATCCAATGGGATTGTATTGTTTACCAAGTCCATAGATCCGAATTTGTCTTATTTTCAGTCAGTACCCCTTAAGATACATCTGATACCTATAACCCATGGTCTTCCAGTGCTCACTCAATATTGAGTTAACTCCTAATTTATGTAAACATAAGAGTTTTTTATTTAATTTTCAACTACAACATATATTTTAAATGTTATGTTTTACATATTTATATATGTGTGTGTTAGAATGCAGTGGGCTTGAGTTGGGATTCAGTCAGATCAATCCAGTTCACCATATTTATTCTTAATTTAAAATTAAGTGAGAATGAAACGATATGGAAAATAAGATCAAAATATATATAGCATACAAGTGCTTCTGCCCAAGTTGAGTCATAAATATGTGTGTTTATTTGTATATGTTTGTGTTATAAATCACTGTACATTTACTATCAGGCTACATGGGAAAGGGAGCCTGCTCAGAACATGGTTAACAATACTAATACAAATGCTTATTTGGGGTACCGTATTTTTGGGGGGCAAACTTTATTTTAGATTTTTTCTGAAATTTGTTTTTTAACATTTAACAATACCTTGTAGAAATATCTCCAAGGTGAATTTCATTGTTCTAATACATTGTTTGCTCATGTCTACATACAATTTTATTATGTAGACATCTCATGATTTCTTCAATTCTTCTTTACTAATTGAAATTTTCTCTGTGGAATAACGGAATAATTGTTCTAACATATGTGTCCTTAGTGTCACCATTTATCTCTATAGGATAAATTATACAAATTGAATTTTGCTCCTTAATCCTCACAATTCCGTAGAGTAAGTTTACTGTTGTTATAGCCATGGAACCTAATACTGTTATTCCATTTCCTCTCTATGTGCATATCAGCAAATGTATAAGAGGACAAATATAATTAATTGATATATAAATGGTACAAATTCATATGTATGTTTCAAATTTTCCTCCTTGATGTACCTGGCATAGCTCTAAAATAGATTACTAGTTCTATTGTAGCTATTTCCAAATCTGATGTTCTACTGGTGTGCAATTATCTTGTTTATGGTAAACATTTGCCTCAAGTAACTAATCCTCTTAATCTCCTGATCTCCCAGGGAGATTTCCTCAAGGCAGAAAAAAAGCCTCATCTTCTAATGGGCCATAAAATATTATCATCTTAGTGTGTGCTTTAATAGAAAAATGTTTGGCCGGGTTTGGTGGCTCACATCTGTAATCCCAGCATTTTGGGAGGCCGAGGTGGGCAGATCAACTGAGGTCAGGAGTTCGAGATCAGCGTGGCCAACATGGTGAAACCCCATCTCTACTAAACACACAAACAATTAGCCAGGCGTGGTGGCAAGCACCAGTAATCCCAGCTGCTCGGGTGGCTGAGGCAGGAGAATTGCTTGAATCCGGGAAGCAGAGATTGCAGTCAGCTGAGATCATGCCACTGCAGTCCAGCCTAGGTGACAGAGAGACTCAGTCTAAGAAAAAAAGAAAAAAGAAAAGAAAAATGTTTGGGAGTTGTCTTAGTGATTTGGTGGATTTGCAAGATTCATAACTGAACTATGTCTCTGATAAAAAGTGATTTAGGTGGACAGAATTATACATTCTTGGTCAGACACCAAAATCTGAATGAATTTCTAGACAGTAATATTTTAAGTGATATCCAAATGAAATACACAACATATTATTTTTGAAGAGGCCTTAACCGTTGCAAACTTTTGCTTAACAATATGCAGTGCTTGAGTTTTTTTTTTTGTTTTGTCTTGTTTCCCCCATATTTTCTCATTATAGCTGAACTGAATTTATTAAGCTTAAATTTATTAAGCCAGGCAGGCTGCTTAATACATTTTGTACAGGAATGATTTTGACAAGAATTTTTTTTTGAATTTGCTTTCTAAAAAGTGTGATAGGATGAACACGGATGAGGCTATGATCTTAGAGATAAACTGTCACGGAGCAGTCAAGTTACACTTCTCTTAGACATAGTATACTTTCTGTGACATGGTTTGATTTTTGCCTTGAAGTTGGTAACATAGCTTTTCTTGGATATTCTTTACTTCATT
This sequence comes from Homo sapiens, assembly GCF_000001405.40. NCBI lineage: Eukaryota > Metazoa > Chordata > Mammalia > Primates > Hominidae > Homo > Homo sapiens. The sequence goes on from NC_000013.11 coordinate 87,173,312, forward strand.
TTAGATTTTAAAAATGGAGAGGGCCTTGGATGTCTCTTTATGTCAACATATGTGTAAATTTAAGTGTTTTTAAATAATACCAAATTTAAGTGTATTTAAATAATACCAAATTGAAATACTGTTGTGAGAAAGTTCTTCACGGTTTCCAAATTTTGGTACATCTTACAAGCAGCGACACTAACAAATTTGTTCCTGATTATCTTTTTCAGGGATATCTGTACAGCAAACAGCCTTGGAAGGTACGGAGATTGTCTCCTGCATAAACAAACGGAGACACACTTACTTCAAGTATAAAATTTTGGATCTGCTAAGCTCAAGTTTCTGCCTTTCAATGAAATTTGTTGCTTTTGTAGATGTTAATCTGGTTCTGTTCTCATCACCTTTTGGGAATTTGGGCTCAGAGAACTTCCACACACAAAATAACTGATACTATGCAGCTATTATTGAGGACTGACAATACGCCTTGTCTCATGCGTTTGGCCACATGAAATATTGTGGCAGCCTAACTTGTTAGACTACAAATACAATAAAACTTCAGATCATTTTAGTTTTGTAAAACACTAAATAAGATAGAATTAAATTATTTACAAGTATAACTTCATAATCTTATACAATTACATATGCATAGGCATACAGAAGGTTTTTTTTTTTCCTTTTTAAAAAACACCTCATATGTTTCACAGTGTATCCAAAGACACAAAATAGTATATATTAATATATTTTCCCACAAAATGTCTACATCAAGTTTAAAGATAAAATGCTAGTGAGAAAATCTTTTAACTGAATTGTTATATAGCTTCTTTAAACACACTGCTGTGACAATAATTGTCTTTTAACAAACATGAACCTTAGAAATTCTTATAACCCCATCATTTAGTTTGTTAGACATTTTAATGCTTTAGTGCTCAACTAAAGCATTTTAAACATTTAGGTACTTACTCTATGCTTCCAAATATGTTTTAGATGCAGATTTCTTTGATTTTATACTGAAATTCCCTACTTACAAAATCACAGATTGAATGGTAGGAGAGTAATGGAAAGCAATAGAATCTACTTGCTTGTCTCGAATATATGCACAAGAAAATGGCAGAGCACAACTAAATGGAGCACATCCAAACTAATATCTTAAAGAATTCGTTTAAATGTGCATTTCCACCCCAGTGTTTGGTACCATAAGAAACCGAGTCCGATAACTGAACATTTTACAATCAATAGAGGAAAAAGTGCAAAGTTCCAATGAGAACATATTTGATATTAGCACTGAATAATTAATTTTCGAGCCGATGTCTTCTCATTGTGGTTGTAAAAAATTGTTATTATAGCACCAAAACAATCACAATAATTACAATTTGTACAAAGACACTGTTGAGAATATTACGTATTTAGTATAGTGTTATTTGAAAATACTCCTTGATTCGGTTTTCATTTGAGCTTTCATAGCCTGAAAGATTTGGCCCACTATAAGATGGTCGTATTTCACTTGTTTGATTCAAATAGCACATATTGACAACCAAAATATTCAGGACAAGTAATTCTAAGTTAAAGCAAGACCAAAATAAAACTCTCTACAAATAAAATAGATTTTCAGTTTTTACTACTGTCTAATATACTAATGTTTGATTATATCCTAATAAAATCATGTAGGTCTTAATGTATATTAGGTGCCTTTAATAAGTTGTATGCTTTTCCTCTGATAGCATTAACAGAAATCCTTCCTCCTAAATGTGGTGGAATATGACCTTACTTTAAAGTACTCTTAATTTGCTTTTCAAACATGGCAGGATCATTAGAGGATCAACATATATCTGTAAGTATATGTATTCCTAACTGTAAATACATTAAAATGTATACAGCAATATAAATCACATTGTTTATCATTAAATAATAAATTTATATTTTTCAACATGAACAAAATATATAGTACAATGGTTTAAGATTTAGTCACATTTAAAATAAAATAATTAATGACATTATCCTGCAGGTATTTCATTATAAACAATGTGTTAATTGCTTGAGCTGCTGTAACAAAGTTCCACAAACTGGATGGCTTAAAAAATCAGAATTTTATTTTCTCACAGTTACATAAATAAGAAGTCAAAAATCAAAATGTCTACAGAGTTGGTTCCCTCTGAGGTTGGGGCCTCATGAGGATGGGCCTCCATCCTTGGCTTGTGTATGGCCATATTTTCTCTATATCTCATTATATAGTTTTCCTTTTATAATGTCTCTGTGTCCAAATTTCCCATTTTTGTAAGGACACCAATCATTGGATTAGGGCTTAAAACAATGAACTCATTTTAACTTTATGATTTGATTTCATTTTAACAGAAATCAAATCAGTGTGGTATTATCAAAGAGGAAGAATTATACACCAATGCAATATAGTAGAGGGCTCACATATGAACCCCTGTATACATGGTCAAATCATTTTTGGCAGTGATTCTAGGACGATTCAATGAGAAAAGGACAGTCTTTTCGAGAAATGCTTTAGGGAAAACTGAATATCCACAGGCAAAATAAAGTTGAACCCTTTCCTAACACCATATATAAAAATTAACTCAAAATTGATCAAAGACTAAACACAAGAGCTAAAACTGTAACTTTTAAAAGAAAACACAGGATATAAATCTTCAGACATCAGTCTGGCAATGATTTCACTGATATGACAAAAAACACAGGCAACAAAAAATATATGGATGAAATGCATTATGTCAAAATTAAAAATGTACATTAAAGAACAGACTCAACAAAGTACAAAGGCAGATTATGGAATGAGAGAAAATGTTTTCAAATTAATTATCTGGTAAGGGATTAATATACATTACATATAAATAATTCTTACAATTCCACAACAAAAGATCAAAGAACCCAATTTTAAAATGGGCAAAGAACTTGAATAGACATTTCTCCAAAGAGTATATACAAATTGTCAATGTGTATATGAAAAGATGTTCAACATCATTAAGTATTAGAGAAGTGCAAAGTTAAACTACAGTGATATACCACCTTATTCCATTATTAGGATAGCAACTCCCTAATAAACAGGAAATAACAAGTGTTGGCAATTTATGTGAGTAAATTGGATCCCTTGGCCACTATTGGTGGGAATGTGAAATGGAGTCTCTGAAGAACAGTATCATGGTTCTTATAAAAACTAAAAATACATTTACCAGCAATTCCACTTCTGGTTACATTACCCAAATAATAATTTAAATAAGGACTCAAGGAAATATTTGTACACCCATGTTTATAGCAGCATTACTCACAATAGAGAAAAGGTAGAAATAATCCAAGTGTCTGCTCCTAAAAAAATAAATAGATAAAACAGGACACACACACACACACACACACACACACACACACACACACACACACAGAGAGAGAGAGAGAGAGAGAGAGAGAGAGAGAGAGAGGGAGTAGAATATTATTTTGCCTTAAAGAAGAAGAAAATTCTGACACATGCTGTAACATGGATCAACCTGGAAGTCATTAGGTTAAGTCAATTAAATCAATCACAAAAGGACTACTACTATATGACTTCACTTACATGAGGTACAGTAGATAAATTCATAGAGACAGAAAGTAGATTTAGAGAAGTTAAATTGATACAGGCAGGAAGTAGAATGATGATTATGAGGGGCTGAGAAGAGGGGGAAATGGGGAGTTATGTTTAGTGGGTACATAATTTCAACTTTGCAAAATGAAAAGTGTTCTCTGGATGGGTGGCAGTGATGATTGAACAACAATATGAATATATTAATGCCACTGGACTGTACAGTTAAAAAAATTTAAGATGGTAAAATTTATATGTGCATTTTCCCACAATGAAAATAATAATTATTATTACTTCATAAAGGGGATATTCTAATAAATCATGATGATATAAATATCATTAGTTGAATTTTACACACCTAAAGATGTTCTATCTTTAGAGGTTTATCTTTTCAATGTTAAAAAGTGGCATTATATTCCTACAACTGCTAATATCAGCAAAATAAATAATACATTTGACATGAATGCAATGTTGATAATCTCTATAATAAAAATCTAATTTAAATTTTATTTTTTAAAAAGATGGGGGAATGAACCATGTTCTATTTTAATTAAAATTAATCTGAAAAAATATGAAATCTGTTACATCCACTAGACCTGTCTTGCACTAGAATGTCAGCCATTTTATTACGATACCTCCAGGAAACAATAAAATCTTAAAGTAGATAATATGTTGTACGGGCTATTACGGCTTTTAAAATAATATGTGCATACACCTATATGTATATTTATATTTATTATAATACAATTCTCTCAGGGATATATTTAAAGATATTAGTAAATTATAATGCATTAATAGAAAAGCAGTGACCAATTTTTCATTATTCTTATTAAAATAATCTGTAAATGTTTGTTTCTATCTGTAAGGCTGTGTTCAGTTGCTAGGGCTTCAACAAAAAAAAATGTTAAAGACTAGGTGGCTTAAACAACAAAAACATTTTCTCACAGTTCTAAAAGCTAGAAGTCAGAAAACAAGGTGTCAAGATGGTTTGTTTCTTCTGATGCCTTGTAGATGACTGTCTACTCTCAGTGTCTTCATATTTTCTTCCCTCTGTCTGTGCCTGAGCCTAAATTGCCTTTTCTTATAAGTACACAGTCATGTTGGATTAGGAATCACCTTAATAATCTCGTTTTTACTTCCTCTGTAAAGGCGCTTGAGGAATTAAGAATTAGAATTGCAACATATGAATTTTTGAAGTGACACAATTCAATCCATAACAACTCTGGATGCCAGAAAGCGGAGATTTTATCAAGGCTCACTCAAAATAAGTTTCTTAAAGTTACTATTATTTTCATCATTAATATTGTTATTAATCTGTGTAGGACAATTGCATGGGAGGCAGCTACTTCAGGTAATTACTGTGAAATTTTAGAACCTGATGTTTGTGAATTCTCTCTACTGAAACTGCTGATATTTGTAAATTCTATCTTCTGAAATTAAATCTATTTATTAGATTTTAAGGGAAAAACAAGTGATAAAGCTTAACTAAAGCTGCATATATCAAAACCTTATGTTGCTTTTTAGGAACAATACAAATGGCTATTGTTCTTTCTTATTTGACAGCTATGTGTGTGTGTGTGTGTGTGTGTGTGTGTGTGTGTTTGCTTAATGCTGTATATTTTCTTTTTGATGGCTTTGTGATGTAAACAGAAAATATTACAAGAAATTTAGTACTTCAAATGAGAGCATTTGATATAATTTCAGGCAATAAATATTTGATTATATTACATGAAGTTTACTCATTATTCTCTTTAGACATTATAACTAGTTTATGAGCACTAATTATTATGCTTTCTTTATGATTTTATATTGATTCTGCACTTTTCTCAAGTGTTAAAGTTTTATTTTTACAGACTGGTGATTATTCATTTGTCACACCATTGTATTTGAAATACCATATCAGATAAATATCTCAGAACCTAATTGGAGAGGCCTGGGTTTTCATTCCTCAAACTAAAGTGATTTTAATTTAAAAACACTTGTGTATATACACAGCAAAACATTAAAATATATTCTGAATTAAAATTTTTAAATATTAATAGCGCGTTGGAATGATACCACATTTTGATTAGGATGCCTACGTGGACACATTATATATCCTGAGCAGAATGCTAGATGATCTGAGTGATATTTGACTAGTCTCTAGGTGACTTTCTGCACTGGGAGGACCACCTGTTTCACTTCACTAGCAGTTTCCATAGTCGAGAATCCTGCCTAGATTTAACATGGCAGTTGAGACAACTTGCCAGGGTGCTCCACTACATATCAGCTAATTGGAACCACTGATGAGCTGAGTGACTTTTTAATACCAACTGCCAGCACACCACCCAGTGTGATTGCAGATGGCTTTTAAAGAGTTAGCCACTACAGAACTAGCATTTCTTGATTCTTATATGTCAATAATGTAAGTACAAGGTGGATTTAAATTTTTGAATTGCAGTCTAGCCAGCATCCTCCAACATAGCTGGAAACTTGATCTCTTGTTTTCAGGTGATGATATGCTATGATTATAGCCAAAATTGCTGTACAAAACAGCAGATTTGTCTTGAAAACCTTATTACTTTCTCTTTTGCTAATAAGACTCATGTCCTCACTAAAGCCAAAAGAGTTTTGTAATTTTCTCTATCATCCCAGTCAAGTCATGTTTTTTAATTGCACAGATACAACTCTTAAACCTTAAAATTATATAATGTTCAGGTTATGAGAAGCACAGCTCTCATGATGAGAAAGAAATTCTTCACAAATAATTTTTATAGATGCTTGGTACTTTCTTTACCTACTGTGCACATTTAGGTATATATATTTAAAATTAAAACTAGCTAGCCCAACCTGACTTAGATAGATTTCTTTAATCTCACAGAATACATGTTTTAAACTATTTTCATTTTAAAATAACTATTTGGTGTCTCCAACCCTGGTAATCTTTCATTGATAACAATCTATTAATATTGTCTTTAAGAAGGTAGTTATGTATGTGTTTTAATTCTAAATCATTTTTGGGAAATTATTTTTCCACTCAATTTTACCACAGGTTGAGTCATTCATTGTAAGTAAATCAAAGCAATCTCTTTTCTCATAATAGTGATGGTTGGATAGAGAATGAAGAAGTCTAACTATTTTAAGTCAGTAAAATCTAAGGAGAGGTCTCTAGTGGACTTCTGGGGCAAACCTTTTCTTGTTCTTAGGAGAGTCACAGGAGTCAGTACCTCCTTTCTACTGCGAGTAAATAAAATGCATAATTTCTAAGGGCAGCCCTCTTATAGCTACAAGGCAGAAAAGATTTAGGATAAGACCAATATTGTGGGTAACCAAGCAGTGAGGCAAAAACAAATTTAATTCTTGAGGATATGATTGACTTAGAGATCACTACATCACTCTACCACAAATATAAAACGTATTTCTTCAAGGCTTAAACCAGTTTAAATTACATAGTCTGTAGCTTGCGTTTTTCTGTATTACTCGGATTTAATAATGCTTTTGCGATCCTCCCTGTTACTGCATTTATGAATACTACATTCATTTTTACTATCATGTATTATTTCACTATATGAAATGCCACAATTTGTTAATTTTTCTATTTATGGGAATTTGGGTTATTCCTAGATTGTGATTAATAAAGCTGTTCTGACATTTCTATAAAAATTTTACTTTATTTATAATTTTATTTCTATTGAAAATTTGAGACCATAGGGTAACTTTACACTTAACTTCATAAGAAGCTGACAAATGATTTTCCAAAATGAATGTACTATTGATAGACTCTTTCAATGTAGTAGAGTTCTGGTTGTGCCACAGGCTCATCAACATTCTCCACTGTCAGTTTTTTCTAAATTTTAGCTGTTTCAGTGGATGTGAAATTGTAACTCATTTCATTTGCATTTCCCTAACGACTAATGATGTTGAATATCAGTGTACATGGGCTTATCAGCCATTTTATATTTTTGTTTTTGAAATGTTAGTTGCTTGCTTATTTAATGGGATAAATATGGGTTTTATTGATTTATGGAAGTTTTATACGATTGTGATCTGAATCCTTTCCCAACTACATTTGTGAAGAATATTATTTCTGAGATAATGGTTAATCTTTATATATTCCATTTTTTATGCCTAAATGTAAATTTAATGAAGTCTAATTTACCATTTTTTTCTTTTTTATTTAGTGATTTTCATGAAATTTGTAAGGAATCTTTATTTTCCCAAAGGTGTCAAATCTATACTCTTGCATTTACCTTTAGAAGTTTCAGAGGTTTTGCTTTTGTATTTAGGTATGCGTTTCAGCTCAAATTAATTTTTTTCAAGGCCTAAGATAGTAGTCAAACTTCATTTTTGTATTAATTAATATGTCATTTGAGCATCATTATGTTAAAATCTTTTTTTTTTTTTTTTTATTATACTTTAAGTTTTAGGGAACATGTGCACATTGTGCAGGTTAGTTACATATGTATACATGTGCCATGCTGGTGCGCTGCACCCACTAACGTGTCATCTAGCATTAGGTATATCTCCCAATGCTATCCCTCCCCCCTCCCCCGACCCCACCACAGTCCCCAGAGTGTGATATTCCCCTTCCTGTGTCCATGTGATCTCATTGTTCAATTCCCACCTATGAGTGAGAATATGCGGTGTTTGGTTTTTTGTTCTTGCGATAGTTTACTGAGAATGATGGTTTCCAATTTCATCCATGTCCCTACAAAGGACATGAACTCATCATTTTTTATGGCTGCATAGTATTCCATGGTGTATATGTGCCACATTTTCTTAATCCAGTCTATCATTGTTGGACATTTGGGTTGGTTCCAAGTCTTTGCTATTGTGAATAGTGCCGCAATAAACATACGTGTGCATGTGTCTTTATAGCATTTTTCTCCCACTTCCTACCCCCTGTGAAGTGTCCTGTTACCTATTTCAAAGATCAGCTGACTCTATGTATGGGTCTTTTTTAAAATTTAATTTAATTTTATTTTATTTCTCTGTCCCCCAGACTGGGGTGTAGCGGTGCGATCTCGGCTCACTGCAAGCTCCGCCTCCCAGGTTCACGCCCTTCTCCTGCCTCAGCCTCCCGAATAGCTGAGATTACAGGAGCCCGCCACCACGCCCGGCTAAACGTGTGGGTCTTTTTATAGATTCTGCCTTGTGTTAAATTAACTGGGTTTTTTATTATGAATTTTGTTGCATCATTGCTATGATTTAAATGTATTTGCCCCTCCAAAATTCATCTATTGGAACGTAAACCCCAAGCTGAAGGCATGAAGAGATGTTCTTTTAGGAAGCGATTAATTCATAAGGGCTCAGTCTTCATGAATAAGATTAAATGTCCATACAGAAGAGCCTTCAGACAGCTGCCTGGCGCTTTTGCCTTTCTTCTCCTTCTCTAGTGTGAGGACAAATCTTCCCTCCTTTCTGCCGTGTGAGGATGCAGCAGGAGACACCAACCTGGAAGCAAAGAGCCATCCTCACCGGACACTGAATCTGCTGGTACCTTTATCTTGGACTTTCTACACTCCAGAGCTGTGAGAACATAAATTCCATTTTTAAAACAAATCAACTAGTTTCAGGTACTTTGTTAAAACACAAATGGACCGAAATAGATGTCACACTCTCATAAGCATTGTAGTTCAAAGTCTTGAAATCAGACTGTGTGACCAGTGAAGCATTCTTTTTAAAGTTAATCATGTCACTTTAAATCATTAGCAATTCTATTCACATTTAAAATTTATCTTGTCGATTTAAACAAAATCGACAAATTCACATTTTTAGATCAATTTGTAATAACATGAAATCTAAAAATATTGAGGCTTGCCATGCAGGACAGTATATTTCAGAACATATTTAGTTCTTCTTTAAACACTATTTTCAATTATTGGACAACAAGCAGCATAGGACCTATCCTATCATGTGTGGCTTATATTTCTCTCTCTCTCTCTGTGTGTGTTTGTATGTATGTATGTATGTATATATAATTTTAATAGTTGATTGTGGTAATATGAATATTCCAATAACAATATTTTAGTTCTTGGTTCTAATGATTTTTCAATAGAGAAACACAATTAGGCCTGATCCCAAAGAAAAGAGATCCTAACAAATTACTGGATGGGAAATTAATCATTGAGGCAGAATGACTCCAGTATTCTCAACAACAAAACTGAAAATTGAAAGAAAATGAATACATCTTAACAAGTCTTTCTGAGGGTATTATTTCTGGGGTATAATTCGACAGCATGCAAAATTATGTATGTGGATTTAAGATGAACATTTCAGGAATATGCGAGATCTCAAATTTGTCTTTCATAGTATATTTCTCAGGAATTGTGTGGAAGATGTGTCCCCCTGAAGCAAATAATTAAAGTTAGACAGAAAATAACATGAGCTCCAGAAAGAATATATTGATGGGATCATTAAATAATGTTCTTCTAAAAATATTAACAATAATTTATAAATTTTTAAAATAATTATTAATATTTTGGAGTATTCAGCCTTATTTTACATTGTCCAAAGTTTACATAAATAGCTTATACATGCACTGGTGATTCTTAAACTAGTTGTAATTTATATTCACATACTTTTATGTTAGGTATGATTCAATTTTCTTTAAAATTCTCTCCGGAATATTACAATCATTTGGACATAATGTGCATTAGTAATCTTCAACCTATCTAGTTTGATTTCATATTATATTTATTAAATTAATGTACTCACCTTTTCTTACAAAACTAGCATCCTTTTGTCATCGTATTGCCATAGCAACCTATAACTAGTATATAATTTTTTTTTGCTTCATATGTGCTAAATTTTAGCATAGCTGTTTCTCTATAGTTATATTAATCACAGACATGGCATCAGAAAATGATTCTTCTTGTCTTTATTTTAGATCATCAAAAAACTGGCCAGCCTACAGTAATTGAATATCTTGGCCTTAGCTATTTCTCATTTAATTTTGCAAAACTATTATATAGTATTTACACTGATTTGGGGGGTTATTCATTTCTCATTCAATGATTGTAATTGTTTCAAGGACATTTAACTGGTAATTTTTCAATAGGAAACATAAAATATTTATATATCTTTAGGTATGTAACTTAAATTTTTTTCAAAATAAAAACTCATTCTAAATTATTGCTGTTCAGAATAGAAATTGGTTTTCATAACCCTTTATATATTTATTGTCTGTTCATTTAACTTAGTTTCGTTCTATTAATATTTTAAAGCAATTTTATTTACCACCATTTAATTATGCTTTCTGTTAGTATATTTTGGGCTACTTAAGTTTGATATAAATGAATAAAGTTTCTATAAACCTACTGTCTCAAAACATATGCAAAAAATATTCTGTGGAATTAATAACATACTGAGATGGGTAATACATGGTTGCCAGAATTACTCAGACACTTAATTGTAATTTATCATTTGTTAGGGTGTTCTTTTGTTCTCTGCAATAGTGTTAAGTCCTGAGAAATAGTTTTATAGAAAAATTCATGATGGATTTTGTAATAAAGAAAATTTGCTTGAAAAATTACATGCCATCCTGTAAAAATTAGAACAAATGATAATTAGATTTCAAATGGGACAGAATCCACCTGCCAAAACAAAAACGTGTTCATTGCTGTATTTTTTCTCAAGTTTTTTATAAGTTTAAACAAGTATAAATCCCACACATACCCTACTACTAAATTTGTTAAAAGAGATCATTGATCACATATGTTTATCTCAAAAGCATGAGAAAGTTAGGACCTTTGTATTGATAATGTTATAGCCAGTACTGACTATGCATGACACCATATGAAATCAAATTCCCATTATTCTCAAATTGCTTTTATGCTTTATAGAGTATTTAGTGTGTTTTTGTAGTTATCTAATTTTCCAAACCTACTGGGTCCCCATTTTTTAGTAATTGAAAAAAGGCAGGCAAGTTGATAAGAATGAAAAACTCAAAATTTACAGAATTGACGTTATGAATGTATTAACACGTTTGGTTGAAAAAATAATTTTAAAAACGTTTTAAATACGTATTTTTAGACTGTATTATATTGTAAAATAATGAGAGGAAGACATGGTAACTGTCCTGGAGGATTATTATAAATTAAAAAGAGTCACATACCTAAGATGACACATACAATACCTAAAAAATGATATAATAGACATAATGTATGTTGAAGAAGAAGTGCTGAGAAGACAGGACAGAAAGTTTAAGAGATATGCAAATATGATAAGGGAGATAGCAATGCATTCCAGACTGCAGTGCTGTTTGTTTATAAAATAAAATATGGTGTAGGAGAGTTCCATAAACAATGTAGTTTTTAGAGAAGAAATATATACATAAATAGAAATAAAAACATTTAATGTCTGTTAAATAATTGGAAATTGTAGTAATAGAAGACAGTTAGACAAAGAAATAGCTAAATCTTAGAGATTTCTGGGCTACAGAAATAAATGAGTCTTTTAATTATTTGAACTTTTATTTATTTATTTATTTATTTATTTATTTATTTATTTATTTATTTATTTTGAGACAGAGTCTTGTTCTGTCGCCCAGGCTGGATGGAGTGCAGTGGTGTGATCTCAGTTCACTGCAAGCTCCGCCTCATGGGTTCACGCTATTCTCCCTCCTCAGCCTCCCGAGTAGCTGGGACTACAGGCGCTCGCCACCATGCCTGGGTAATTTTTTGTATTTTTAGTAGAGACGGGGTTTCACCATGTTAGCCAGGATAGTCTCAATCTCCTGACCTTGTGATCCGCCTGCCTCAGCCTCCCAAAATGCTGGGATTACAGGCGTAAGCCACCGCATCTGGCCTGAACTTTTGTATTGGGAAATATAACACAGAAAAAAATTTACACAGAACAAAATTTCATAATACAATTAATTAATCAAAAGTAAACATATATAAGCATATCCAGGTCTAGTAATTTAATATGTTTTAGTAATTTTCAAGACACTTTCATGCCTTGTCCAATCACTACTCTACCTTTTCTTCAAAATGTGGCTATAGTTCTATTTTCTATCAATACAATTTTGTTTGTGCTGGTTTTGAACTTTGTATAAGTGGATTCATACACTAGATGGTCTTGGATATTGTTTGACTACATATTTGGGCGATTTAAATATGTTATTACATGTAGAGGCCTTCCATTTATTTTTGTTGCTGTATTTTTTCTCAAATTTGTCAAATATTTAAGCATTAATGAACATTAGTGTGGTTCTGATTTGGCCCTGCTATTTACCTTTTCGTATACATCTCAGTGCAAAAGTGCACACATTATAATTAAATATACATATAAGAATGGAATTGTTTTGTTATAGAATTTTTTAATATGTTAAACTTTAATAGCTACTTCCAAATATATTGCCTTTTTTGACCAATTTACATTTCCACCAAGAATAAATGAATATCGCTGTCTATCCTTCATGTCACACTTATTAAGTGTTATTTTGGTATTAGCTATATGTGAGGATTTGTAGTAATTTCTTATTTAGTTTTTTTTTCATTTTCCAGCATCTTAAAAAGATTGTAGATTTTTTCATATATTCATTGCCCTTCTATATTTTCTTTTTGTTGTACTGGTTTTAATGTCTTTCCCAATGTTTTCTTTCATGCGCGTCCAAGTGAAGAGACCACCAAGCAGGCTTTTTGTGAGCAATAAAGCTTTTAATCACCTGGGTGCAGGCAGGCTGAGTCCCAAAAGAGAGTCAGCGAAGGGAGATAGGGGTGGGGCCATTTTATAGGATTTGGGTAGATAAAGGAAAATTACAGTCAAAGGGGGGTTATTCTCTGGCGGGCAGAGTGGGGGTCACAAGGTCCTCAGTAGGGGAGCTTTTGAGCCAGGATGAGCCAGGAGAAGGAATTTCACAAGACAATGTCATCAGTTAAGGCAGGAACAGGCCATTTTCACTTCTTTTGTGGTGGAATGTCATCAGTTAAGGCAGGAACCGGCCATCTGGATGTGTATGTGCAGATCACAGGGGATATGATGGCACAGCTTGGGCTCAGAGGCCTGACATTCCTGTCTTCTTATATTAATAAGAAAAATAAAACAAAATAGTGGTAAAGTGTTGGGATGGTGAAAATTTTTGGGGGTGGTATGTAGAGATAAGGGGCGATGTTTCTCAGGGCTGCTTCGAGTGGGATTGTGGCGGCATGGGAACCTAGAGTGGGAGAGATTAAGCTGAAGGAAGATTTTGTGGTAAGGGGCGATATTGTGGGGTTGTTAGAAGAAACATTTGTTGTGTAGAATTATTGGTGATGGCCTGGATACGGTTTTGTATGAATTGAAAAACTAAGTGGAATAAGAGAAGGAGAAAAACAGGTATAAAAGGTCTCAGAATTGGGAGGACCCAGGACATCTGATTAGAGAGTGCCTAAGGAGATTCAGCATAGTCCTGCCAGCAAAGATTATTTATTTACCTGAAGAGTTAAGAGTGGCAGTTTGGGGATAGCACCAGGAGATATTAGCTGTGATGGCTTGGAGAAACAGTGTAAACCGGCAGTGTAAACAAGAGAAGAGCACGTATGAGTAGTTGAGAATGGTGAATAGGAGTATGACTAAACAGAAGATAGTAGGAATGACAAGTTTTTTGGGGCACAGTCTAAGTTGGTGTGGTGTCTGGAATGAGACTGGGGCCTAATAAAAAGGAGCGTCTATATGGGAGCTCAAACGGGCTGTACCCTGTAGCATTCTGGGGACAGGTCTGACTTCTGAGAAGGGAAAGTGGTAAAAGTATTGTCCAGTCCTTTTTAAGTTGGTGGCTGAGCTTGGTGAGGTGTGTTTTTAAAAGACCTTTAGTCCGTTCTACTTTTCCTGAAGACAGAGGACCGTAAGGGATATAAAGGTTTCACTGAATACTAAGAGCCTGAAAAACTGCTTGGCTGATTTGACTAATAAAGGCTGATCTGTTATCAGACTGTATAGAGGTGGGAAGGCTAAACTGAGGAATTATGTCTGACAGAAGGGAAAAAATGACTGTGGTGGCCTTCTCAGACCCTGTAGGAAAGGCCTCTACCTATCCAGTAAAAGTGTCTACCTAGATTAATAGGTATTTTAGTTATCTGACTTGGGGCACGTTGAGTAAAGCTAATTTGCCAGTCCTGGGTGGGAGCAAATCCTGGAGCTTGATGTGTAGGGAAGGGAGGGGGGCCTGAATAATCCCTGAGGAGTAGTAGAATAGCAGATGGAACACTGAGAAGTTATTTCCTTGAGGATAGATTTCCACGATGGAAAGGAAATGAGAGGTTCTAAGAGGCAGGCTAGTGGCTTGTACTACAGCATAGCCTGCCTTTGCTGGTGTGTGGCGATTAGGCCTGGTGGAACCGCCATCAATAAATCAAGTGTGATCAGGGTGAGGAACAGGAAAGAAGGAAATATGGGGAAATGGGGTGAATGTCAGGTGGATCAGAGAGATACAGTCATGGGGGTCAGGTGTGGTATCAGGAATAATGTGGGAGGCCAGATTGAAATCCTGGCCAGGAACAATGGTAATTGTGGGACTTAACAAAGAGTGAGTACAGCTGAAGGAGCTGGGGAGCAGAAAGTATATGCATCAGGTATGAGGAAGAAAATAGATTTTGGAAGTTATGAGAAATGTAGAGAGTGAGTTGAGCATATTTGTGATTTTGAGGGCCTCTGAAAGTATTAAAGCAGTGGCAGCCGCTGCACGCAGACATGAGGGCTAGGCTAAAACAGTAAGGTCAAGTTGTTTGGACAGAAAGGCTACAGGGTGCCGTCCTGGCTCTTGTGTAAGAATTCTGACCGCACTAACCATGCCTAGGAAGGAAAGGAGTTGTTATTTTGTAAGGGCTTGAGGTTTGGGAGATTAATCGGACATGATCAGCAGGGAGAGCACGTGTGTTTTTATGAGAATTATGCCGAGATAGGTAACAGATGAGGATGAAATTTGGGCTTGACTGAAGTAATGGGGGCTGTCTGTGAAGCCTTGAGGCAGTACAGCCCAGGTAATTTGCTGAGCCTAATGAGCGTCAGGGTCAGTCTAAGTGAAAGCGAAGAGAGGCTGGGATGAAGGGTGCAAAGGAATAGTAAAGAAAGCATGTTTGAGATCCAGAACAGAATAATGGGTTATAGAGGCAGGTATTGAGGATAGGAGAGTATATGGGTTTGGCACCACGAGGTGGATAGGCAAAACAATTTGGTCGATAAGGCGCAGATGCTGAACTAACCTGTAAGCCTTGTCTGGTTTTAGGACAGGTAAAATGGGGGAATGGTAAGGAGAATTTATAGGCTTTAAAAGGCCATGCTGTAACAGGCGAGTGATAACAGGCTTCAATCCTTTCAAAGTGTGCTGTGGGATGGGATATTGGCATTGAGCAGGGTAAGAGTGATTAGGTTTTAATGGGATGATAAGGGGTGCATGATCAGTTGCTAAGGAGGGAGTAGAGGTGTCTTATACTTGTGGGTTAAGGTGGGGAGATACAAGGGGAGGATGTGAAGGAGGCCTTGAACTGGGGGAAAAGGTGGCAATGAGGAGTGGCTACAGTCTCACCTGATGGGAATAGTCAGGGAAGCAGATAATTTAAAGTGTCTTGGCCTAATAAGGGAACTGGGCAGGTGGGGATAACTAAAAAGGAGTGCCTAAAAGAGTATTGTCTAAGTTGGCACCAGAGTTGGGGAGTTTTAAGAGGTTTAGAAGCCTGGCCGTCAATACCCACAACAGTTACGGAAGCAAGGGAAACAGGCCTTTGAAAAGAAGGTAATGTGGAGTGGGTAGCCTCTGTATTGATTAAGAAGGGGACGGATTTACCTTCCACTGTGAGAGTTACTCAAAACTGTGTGTCTGTGATGGTCTAGGGGGCTTCCGAGGCGATCGGGCAGTGTCAGTCTTCAGCCGCTAAGCCGAGAAGATCTGGGAAGGAGTCAGTCAGAGAGCCTTGGGCCAGAGTTCCAGGGGCTCTGGGAGTGGCTGCCAGGTGAGTTGAACAGTCTGATTTTCAGTGGGGTCCCACACAGATGGGATATGGCTTAGGAGGAATCCTGGGCTGTGGGCATTCCTTGGCCCAGTGGCCAGATTTCTGGCACT
Source organism: Homo sapiens (assembly GCF_000001405.40). Taxonomy (NCBI): domain Eukaryota; kingdom Metazoa; phylum Chordata; class Mammalia; order Primates; family Hominidae; genus Homo; species Homo sapiens. The sequence continues at coordinate 87,189,886 of NC_000013.11, forward strand.
TGTAGCAAGCTCCTGGGGGAGGAGGTTCTGGAGGAACCCCAGGTAGCTGCGGTTCAGGCGTTTGGAGTTGTTATGTGCTGGAGATGTGGCTGGGGTTTGTCTCACAGTGGAGGCAAGGAATTGCAACTCAGAAATACATTGCTACTTGGCTGCCTCTACTCTATTATTGTACACCTTGAAGGCGAGGTTAATTAAGTCCTGTTGTGGGGTTTGAGGGCCGGAATTTAATTTTTGGAGTTTTATTTAATGTCAGGAGTGGATTGGGTAATAAAATGTATATTGAGAATAAGATGGCCTTTTGACCTTTTAGGGTCTAGGGCTGTAAAGCGTGTCAGGGTTGCTGCCGAAGGAGCCATGAACTGGGCTGGGTTTTTCACATTTGATGAAAGAGCCTAAACGCTCCCTGATTTGGGAGAGGTGAGATAAAGAAAAAGGAGCATTAACCTTGACTATGCCTTTAGCTTCAGCCACCTTTTTAAGAGGAAATTGCTGGGCAGGTGGGGGAGGGCTCTCAGGGAATTAAACTGTAAACCAGACCAGGTGTGAGGAGGGGAGGTGATAAAAAGATTATAGGGTGGAGGAGCGGAGGCTGAGGAAGAATTGGGACCTAACTCAGCCTGGTGAGGAGCACCCTGGGGAGGAGCAGCCTGGGGAGGAGGGGAGAGGTCAGATGGGTCTGTAGAAAAGGAAGATTAGAAAGACTCAGCGATGCTTGGGGTTGAGACTGAGGGGACAGTTGGGAGGGAAAGAAGGAAGATTTGGGATGAGTTGCACTGGGCACAGAGACTAGGGAGGGACCGATGTGTAAAAGAATGCCTGGACGTCAGGCATCTCAGACCATTTGCCCATTTTACGACAAGAATTATTTAGATCTTGCAGAATGGAAAAATTGAAAGTGCCATTTTCTGGCTCTTTGGAACCACTGTTGAGTTTGTATTGGGGTCAAGCAGCATTGCAGAAGAAAATAAGGCATTTAGGTTTTAGGTCAGGTGTGAGTTGAAGAGGTTTTAAGTTCTTGAGAGCACAGGCTAAGGGAGATGGAGGAATGGAGGGTGGAAAGTTGCCCATAGTGAAGGAGGGAAGCCCAGAGAAAAGGAGAGTAGAGACACAGAGGGAAGGGGTTCGGGGGTTCCTACCCTCCAGAAAAGAGGGAAAGGGGTTGGGGCACAGAGATAAGAGGTCGGGGCCCAGAAATAAGGGATTGGGTGTTCTTGTCCCCTAGAAAAGCGGGACTTGCCGCTAAGGGTGAAGGAGAAGGGGTTGAGGGGTTCTTGCCCCTCCTCCAGAAAAGCAGAGAAGGGGTAGAGACACGGAGAGAAGGGGTTGGGGTACTTGCCCCTCCCCCAGAAAAGTGGGACTTGCCACTAAGGGTGAAGGACCAAGGCAGGCGTCCCTGCATGGTCTGACACCTCTGAAACAGAAGAATAGTCAGAGAGGCATCCGTGCAATGATTAAACACCAAGGGAAGCCTGCCTTCCCAGTCCGTGACCGGCCCCAGAGTTTTGGGTCCACAGATAAAACATGTCTCCTTTGTCTCTACCAGAAAATGAAAGGAATTGAAATGAAGAGAAGGGAGAGATTGAAGTGTGGTGCCAAGATTGAAAGGAGAAAGAGGTTGAAGGATAGTGAGGGAGGTTGGAGAAGAGAGAAAAAAGAGGCCGCTTACCAGATTTGAAATTGGTAAGATGTTTCTTGGGCTCGTTGGTCTGAGGACCTGAGGTCGTAGGTGGATCTTTCTCATGGAGCAAAGAGCAGGAGGACAGGGGATTGATCTCCCAAGGGAGGGCCCCTGATCCACGTCACGGCACCAAATTTCATGCACGTCTGTGTAAAGAGACCACCAAACAGTCTTTGTGTGAGAAATAAAGCTTTTAATCACCTGGGTGCAGGCTGGCTGAGTCCGAAAAGAGAGTCAGTGAAGGGAGATAAGGGTGGGGCCGTTTTATAGGACTTGGGTAGATAAAGGAAAATTACAGTCAAAGGGGGGTTGTTCTCTGGCAGGCAGAGTGGGGGTCACAAGGTGCTCGGTAGGGGAGCTTTTGAGCCAGGATGAGCCAGGAGAAGGAATTTCACAAGACAATGTCATCAGTTAAGGCAGGAACAGGCCATTTTCACTTCTTTTGTGGTGAAATGTCATCAGTTAAGGCAGGAACCGGCCATCTGGATGTGTATGTGCAGGTCACAGGGGATATGATGGCTTACCTTGGGCTCAGAGGCCTGACATTTTCTACTTTTGTTTTTTCCCTTTGATTTATATTTAGCAAGTCTAAATCCCACATGTACCCTATTAATAAACTTGTTAAAAGAGATCATTGATTTCTGATCAATTATCAGAGATTATTTATTTATAGTAGTTATTTTCCTGTTCAGGATATGAGCCTTTTTTTCAAATTTGCATGTTGCAAATAATATCCCACACTGTATCTTGACTTGTCATTCTCTTACCTGAATGTTTCTTTTTTCTGATAAATAGTTCTTAATTTTAATGTAGTTAATTTTTGTTTATAAATTGCACTATTTCAGAAGTCAAAACTGACTCCAAAACAATGTATCTCACTTTATTCTTCAAGACAGTTATTGTTTTTTTACTTTACTTTCCCCTTAGAAGTTAATTTTAAGAGTAGTTTGAAAATGAGTAAATTTCACTGTTACTTCTTACTAGTAGTGAATAGGACTAAAGTCACTTATTGAAAATACTGTTTTTTTTTTTTTTTTTTACTTCTTTACACTGTCATTTTTCTCATAAGTATTAATGCATATTTTTTTCAGTTTCTGTACTCTCTATGCTAGTTCATTGATCAGATTTGTTTGTTTTTAATTTCTGTGCTTTCCATTAAAATTGGTCTTTCTGCAATGTCATTCTTAGGTATATGTTGTCCTTTATATTTAGATATGAATTTTAAATTCAGTTTATCTTGTTTCACACATATAAACATACTTATACAGGGAAACTCATAAACTTGTGGAATTTTGAATGGGATGACACAAAGTCTGTAAATGAATATAGGTAGAAAATCATTAAATTATTAAATATTCAATTTCTAATATTCTTCTATGTATGGAGATCCTATTAATTTCCTCTTTTATGTTTCAGAGTCCATCATGGTTTTTTTCTATTTTTAGACTTTTTTTTTTTTTTTTTGCTATTTGATGTTTTGGTTATATTGTAGTGTTTTATTAAATCTCAGGTTTTCTGGCCTGTATGTTGCTGATAGTTAAAAATGTTCTTAATTTTGTGTATATACATATATATATATACATATATATATATGTGTGTATATATATATATATACATATATATGTGTATATATATATATACACACATATATATGTGTGTGTATATATGTCTTCCATATTCATATATTTCACCGTTTTGTATTTTCATTTTATACTAACAGTTTATAGACTTAAACACAATGACTTGTTAATGCATTATATCTTGCCAAATTATCATATTTATTTTAATAAATTTTCCATAGAACCTTATGTGCACAAACATGCTATTTTAAATTTATCGTGCTTGTTATTGTATCTTTTATAGAATAATTGCCATAGAGATTTGATTGAAAGAATGAAATATGGTGTTACACGGAAGGAGGATAACAATATTTTAGATTAAATTACTTCAAAACTATTAATACTATATTTTACTTTAATAAATCAATGAATACTATCAATACATTTTAAAGTGATTAGACAGAATTATACTAATTTTGAGACTCTATAATAATTCTGAGACTCTGTCATCTCTTCTCACCTTCTCCAGCATTTAAAACTATGAATGAAACCAACAAGAGGTGAGATATGACTGTTGACCCAGGAGTCCTATCATGATTTCTTTCTCAACCCTGGTTTCAGCTGACTGCCCTGAAAATGCTCTTTCTACTGTCCATGACAGCTAATATCAAACTAGTTTCAAATTTTCCATGTGAAAAATGAGGATCAAAAATCACTGAGGCACTATCCTCAGATGCATAGGAAATTTGAAATCTGAAATGAAAATGGTCAGTAATTTGTTTTTTGGGCCTAATTGAATAATGTAAGATAGGAATAATAAGTATACTATGCAGGCAAATTATGTAACACCTTTGGAAAGTTTTTATTTATTTCAAAACAATTTATAAAGTTTGGATAAGGCTCAGCAACAATTTATTTTATGTGGCATATTTCCATGTATGTAGAAAATTTAAATTTTGTATATTAGATGGGATGTACAGATATAAATGTACAACCCATGTAATAGTCTCTGTACAGAAATTTATCCTATGTATAAAAAGACAAAGCATGAGATTAAAGATGCCATTCTGATGGATTACAATTCTCAGAAACCTAGTGGTATATAACAATGGTGTACTGTCCATTCCAGCCCATCGATCTACTTCTATTCTCTTTCATCATTATCACTCTGTCGTGGTCACTGTGGCTTTATAGTAACTCTCGAGATCAGGTATTGTCAGAAATATAATTTTGTTCTTTTTCAGTATTGTGTGAGCTATTTGAAACTTTTTTGCCTTTCCATATAAACTTTAGACTCAATTAATATTAAAAAAATAACTTGCTCAAATTTTGATGTAGATTTCATTGAATTTGGATTCTTCATATGCATTTCCTATGGCTTATTGTTAAATGTATCTTTTGATGGAACTAAATTATATGTACTAGAGCATGTAATGGTTGAAACACTGTGATTGTGGTTAAGGAAATAGCATGAAATTTCATGGATAAACCAGTCATGGCTTTGAATTCCAGATTATTCAATCATTAGCTGTGTGAACATGGCCAGGTCACTTAAATCACCTGAGCTAACGAAAAAAATATTACTCACTGTACAATTGGCGATTACATTAATGACAACTGTTTTATTTTAATTAATGCTATATTACATTGCCTGATACACTAAAGTGTTTCAATTCATGAAGTGGTAGAAAAAATTAATAGTTGTCCGTACAATAGGCGGTATGAGGGGGCCATATTATTCACAGTAGTAATAGTAGTAGAAGAGCTTTTTCTCTATAAAAAAAATAGAGATTGATTACTTTGAGTTTCGTAGTCTGATTAAATACATTTTAAGATGTCTCTTGAGAGATAACTCTAAACTAATTAGAAAACAGTCAAAGCTTTACAAATAAATTGTTGGGAACAAGCCCCCAAAATCTGGCCATAAACTGGCCCCAAAACTGGCCATAAACAAAATCTCTGCAGCACTGTGACATGTTCATGATGGCCATAATGCCCACTCTGGAAGGTTGTGGGTTTACGGGAATGAGGGCAAGGAATACCTGGCCCGCCCGCTTAAAGGCATTTTTAAGCCACAAACAATAGCATGAGGGATCTGTGCCTTAAGGACGTGCTCCTGCTGCAATTAACTAGCCCAACCTATTCCTTTAATTCAGCCCATCCCTTTGTTTCCCATAAGGGATACTTTTAGTTAATTTAATATCTATAGAAACAATGCTAATGACTGGCTTGCTGTTAATAAATATGTGGGTAAATATCTGTTTGGGGCTCTCAGCTCTGAAGGCTGTGAGACCACTGATTTCCCACTTTACACCTCTATTTTTCTGTATGTGTGTCTTTAAGTCCTCCAGCGCTCTGGGTTAGGATCTCCCCCACCATGCTGGTCTCGGCAATATATATAATTAAGGAAATGGAAATCTAGATGAAATTTCATCATCCAACTTCATTTCTTAGACCAAAATCGTTCATAAAACTTCATCTATGCAGGAAACTTCCCTTGGCTAATTCTCAACTGAATAATGTATGTCTTCTACTTAACCTTTTAATTCATTATTTTTGGGGGCAGCTCATTATTCAGATTGTATGTCAAACATACTCAGTGAAAATTCATACTTGGGTATTGATAAGTCAGAGAATTCTCTGATTTATCTACTTAGGGTCAGGCATCAAGTCTGCTGACAGCAAATATAGTTTTAGTGATCACAGCAGCAGATAATGCTACTTGATGGGATATTAACACTTTTAGTCATAAGTCAGAATTAATGACTTGTTCGAGTTGCCTGAAAATATATCTTCATGTGGCTCTCTCACAGCCAGAAAATAATGCAAAATATCTAAAGTAATGAAAGATATCTGGAATCAATGAACAGTACAAATAAAATGAGACTGTTGTTATGTACTTCATCATTGCTAATATTTTAAGAATATGTGCACGATCATGCAAATATTTTGCTCATCTATTTGAAAGGGTGGTATATGCAAAAAAAGGTGGTATTTGCAAAATTGTAAAACATACCACTACTCTATGAATTAATGCTGAGAATCTTATTTGTAAATGTAATATAAGTAGCCTATATAACAAAACAAATCAAATCAAAACCTAGTTAATTGAATTAAATTTGAAAATATTATTGAATATAACTTTTCTCATAGTAAAGTTTTTACCTTTAGGTAATAGTAGCAATAATTCCAACCTTTAAAGAAATTTGCATATGTTGGTATGATATTATACTATTAGAGTTTTATGTGTAATCCTTAAACTGAATAAAATGGTTCCTTGTAGTGTTCTTTTCTTAGTAGAACTATTTTTTTATTTACTTAGCTTTACAGCATAATTTGTGAATTATTTATTTTTAAATGGCTATATAGCATACATTATCAATATAAATAGACATAACCCTGATGTTAAGGAGCTTACAACCTACTTCAGAGATTGAGAAAAGAACAATAATTATTAAATATAATTATCATTTAACTGCATACAAACGTTAGTGGATACTTAGGTGAATAATTATTTTTAAAGAAATACTAAAACAGGCCGGGCACAGTGGCTCACGCCTGTAATCCCAGCACTCTGGGAGGCCGAGGCAGGCGGATCACCTGAGGTCAGGAGTTCAAGACCAGGCTGGCCATGGTGAAACCCTGTCTCTACTAAAAATAAGAAAAATTAGCCGGGCATGGTGGTGCGTGCCTGTAATCCCAGCTACTCAGGAGGCTGAGGCAGGAGAATCACTTGAACCCGAGAGGTGAAGGTTGCAGTGAGCCGAGATCACACCATTGCACTCCAGCCTGGGCAACAAGAGAGAAACTCCATCTCAAAAAAAAAAAAAAAAAAAAAAAAAACTAAAATAATGAATATTTGAAAAAACATTACAATATTTTAGATGGGCAAAGGTGAAGGATACCTTCCAGAATAAGGTAATTATCATTGAAAAACAGAAATAATATAAGGAAGAAAAAGAAGGAGGAGGAGGAGGAAGGGCAGGAGGAGGAGAAAGAGAAGAAAAATATTCTTTAAAGAATCATACATAATTCAGAATTTCTGCAGTGTGAATTCAAGTGGACGAAGAGATAAAATATGATTTGATTTCTAGGCAAAGATGAACATAAAGTACTAGTATAATACAATATATGAAATGTTTAGATTTACTCAGTGTGTTGTATATAGTTACTAAATACTGTGAAGCTTGGGATTGTGTGGGTTACTTTGATAAGGTTGAAAGAGATGGTCTAGACCATGGGATATATGGAAAAGATGATTTTCCAGAATTTGTTTTCTTAATTCCTGTGCACCTAAATATAATTTCTGGCTTCCATGGCATTTCATGTGGCCATAAAATTCTTGCAAATATGATATGTGCAAAAGCAATGTGTGCCACTTCGAGGCTTTGTTTTAAAATTAATCATTTGCCTTCTTCAATGTTCCTTATTAGATTAAAGTAGAAGTGACCAAACATATAGTGTACACCATGCAGGCAATAAATATATTAGGGAATTGTAGAAGGAAACTTAGAAAGGAATCAAGGTGTCTTGCAGACATGAGCCACTTATGTTAGAATTTTAACATGAGAAAGAAAAACATTCATTCTTTAAGTAACTATTGCACTGAGTCTCATGCTTCTTCTAGCTTAGCCTTCTATCCTAACCAGCATAGGATCTAAGCCTGTTAACACAAAATGTAGAAGGAAAACACTGAAAGTCCAAGCTAGAATATTTATGGGGAAGCAGAGAAAAGAGAGACAAGGAAAACCCTAAGAAGAAATTATTTACAGGTCAAATGATTAAATGGATATAAAAGTTAGAAGATACAGGTATTAAGGATAATTTCTGATACTCAGTTCTCCAGAACTGACAATTTCTAAGGAATGTGCAATAGATTGAATAAAAACATTGTAAGGCTGCGTATCTAAACACACATATCTGAACACATTCTAAATTTGCTTAGATATGAAACGGTGTTAGTACATACAATTCAAGGTAAATGGGAGTGAGGTATTTTCCTGGAATTTAACTTTAATTTTTAAGGTATTTTTTTAACTTGAGAATTGAGAAACGCCTGTGGCAAATGAAAACAAGTATTGATAACATTGTCTGAGTGTCTGTGAAGAGGGATAACAAAAAGCAGTCCAAGGAAAAATTTCTAAATTAACATTTAAGGAGCATTAGAGGAAGGTACATGTCCATCAAAACAGTTGTCAAAAAAGTAGAATAGGGAGAGAAAAGCTTCATAAAATCAGAAGGAAAAAGGGGGTTTCAAACAGAGGCAGTCGTGAACAGTGTGAACACCTTAAAGTGGTCAAATAACTTGGAAACAAAAATAATTATGGAGGAGTTGTGATATCTAGATGAATTAGGTAAATACAGCAGGAGATTATCCTGATATCCAAACAGCATATTTTAAGAGTGGAGAGAAAGAAAGCCCATATGTCTTTGAGGTACGTGCCAACCATGGAAGAGAGCCAATCTCAACTGCCTGAGAGATTCCATAGTGTGCAGTATAATCAAGAAGACGGTTGCACTGATAAAGAGTAGTGAGACTTGAAAATCATAATCAGGCTATAATCACATATAGAGAGTTAAGACAATGGCAAACCTAGGAATGTAAAAATGAGTTAATAAGTATTCTTCAGCAAATACCCATTACTTTATCTCTTTTCACAGTGTTTCACATTAAAGTCCATATTTTTAAAAGATTCCCATTCTCTTTAATATGTATACTTGATGTTTGCTCAAATTTCATCTCAATGAAACCTTTTAAACCTGATCCTAATACAAACTGTGACTTTCTAACACTCTCTTCTCCAGCTCTCCTTTTTTAGTCTCCATAAGCATAACTACTACAAAATATGCCATGTATTTCATGTTTTTGTTATGGATATTGCTTATATACTGGAAAATAGAACAAAATTCTGTAAAGATATTTTATTTCTCTTGTTTTTCTTCCACCTTGAACCACATCTGTTCAGTGGTGGATACTTAGTAAGTAATTATTTAGTAAGTGCATAAACTATCCTTTGACTTTTGCCTAAATTACCCTTGGACTTTTACACATCAATTTCTCTCCCGATAGAGTTCTGCCTTAGTTCTTTATATTTGCTAGCATCCAAGTCCTAAAGAAAATACAACGATATTTTTAAGATGTTTTACTTGACTGAAAAAATCTTTTTTAGTTTAAAAATTGTCATCTGCTCTTTGCTCTTTTGTTGCTTTCTTCTGCTTTGCTTGTTTTTTCATATGAGCTGTTTTATTTTTTCACTCTTTGTCTCTTTTTTAGATTAAAAGTTTATTTCAACTCAGTATTTGTTGTCAGGTAAAGTTATTGAAGATCACCTTTGACTCCACTTCTCTCCACTGAGTACTGTTTCAGTTCATTTTCAGATTCACACATGCAGACGTGGTCGATGATAAAACACAGTTCTCAATTCAACTATCAGTGTTAAACAGGCAGGATTTTTCAAAGAGTAATTCTCCTAAATTAAACAATTTTGTATTTCTATTTTTTCTATTGTGTTTCATAATATTAGAAATCAATAAAATATACTAACATATAATCTCCAGCATGTCTTGTTAGTAGGACTCTTCCTGAGTCTTTCCCTAGCTGCATAATTTATATTCGTGAACATCACCTATCTGATGTCATATTCCATCATGCTCTCTATGGCAGATTCTTTACGTTCAGTTGTTTACAGTCTTTCCACTCTTGAGTATTTTGATAAAGACATTAGATGTAAATACCAGATATCTCTCTAATATGTATGTCAATATTTTATTTTTTAATACGTTCTGTGTACAATTTTATGGTTTTTGACATATTTACAAAGTTGTTCAGCCACTAACCATCACTCTCCAATTCCAGAACATTTTCGTTACCCTAAAATTAACAGTCTCTCTCAATTTCTTCCCTCTTCCTGGGCCCATGGCACACATTAATCTACTTTCTGTGTCTAGAAATTTGTTCACTGTGTACACTTTATATAAAAGTGGTTTACAATATATAACCTTTTGCACTTAGCTTCTTTCACTTAGGGTAGTGTTTTCAAGGTGCATTCTTCTTGTGGCATGTATCAGTACTTCATTCCTTTTATAGCCAAATAATATTTAATCATCTGGGTACAGAACATATAGGTTGTCCAGTTATCAATTTATAAACATTTGGACTATTTTCAAATTTTGTCTATTATGAATAATGCTGTTGTGAACGTGAATGTACAAGTTTGTGTGTGAATTTACGTATCTTTTCTCTTGGGGATATAACCAGGAGTGAAAATCCTGGGTCATGTGAGAATTGTAGACTTAATTTGTTTTTGAGAAACTTCCAACCTGGAGTCCGAAATTGAACTATTTTACATTTCAACCAGAAATGTAAAAGAGTTTCAATTTCTCCACATTATCATCAAAACTTGTTATTGTCTTTTTCATTATAGACATCCTATTAGGTGTGAATTAGTATCTCATTGTGGTTTTGATTTCTATTTTCCAAATTAATAATATTGAACATCTTTGCATGTACTCATTAGTCATTTGTACATCTTCCTTGGGGAAATATCTAGTAAACTATTTTGTCATTTTAAAAATTGGGTTGTCTTTTTATTGTTGAGTTGCAAGAATTCTTCTATTTTCTGAATAAAAGTCTCTTGTCAGAGATATAATTAGAAAATATTTTCTCCCATTCTCTGAGTTTTCATTTTCATGATTATGTTTGCTGCATAAAATTGATCAATATTATCCTTAGCAAACTAACGCAGGAACAGAAAATCAAATACTGCATGTTGTCACTTGCAAGTAGGAACTAAATGATGAGAGCTCATGAGCAGAAGTAAGAGAACAACAGACACTGAGGTCTACCTGAGTGTAGAGGGTAGGAGGAGGGAGAGGAGAAGAGTAAATAACAATTAGGTACTAGCTTTTATCACATCTGGGTGATAAAATAATCTCTACAGCAAACCCCTGTCACATGAGTTTACCTATATGACAAACCTTCACCTGTATCCCTTAACCTAAAAGCTAAAAAAAATTGTTCAACTTTCATGAAGTTCAATTTACCTATTTTTGTTGTTGGCTGTGATTTTAGTGTCATATCTAAGAAATCATTATCTAACACAGAGCAAAAAAAAAAAAAGTCCTATGTTTTTATTTAAAATATTTTATGATTTTAGTTATTACCTTTAAGTATTTTATCTATTTTTGAGTAAATGTTTATATATCATGGAAAGTAGGGCTCTAATGTCTTTTTTCTTTGCGTGTGAATATCTGGTTGTTTCAACACAATTTATTGAAAGACCATTTTTCTCTATTAAATTTTCTGGTACTCTTGTCAAAACTCAATGATGATACATGTGAAAATTTATTTCTGGACTCCTAATTCTATTTTAGTAGTCTATATGTCTATATTTATGCCATTACCACACTCTCACTCTCTTGATTAATGTAGTTCTATGGTAAGTTTTGGAATCATGGTGTGTGAGTCATTCAGTTTTGTTCTTTTCATTATTTATTTGGCTAATCATGGTGCCTTATATTTTCATATGAATTTCAGGACTATCTTGTCAATTTATGCCAAAAAGGCAGCTGCTATTTTGATAATTAAAGTGTAGATTTGTGAATAATTTTGAATATATTACTCTTTTAAAATATTATACTTTCCCATTTACAAAATTGGGGTAACTTTCCATTTATTTAGGTGTTCTTTAATTTCTTTTGATGATGTTTTATAGACTTTATTGTATAGTATTGCACTTCTTTTGTTATATTTATTGCTGAGCATTTTATTATTTTATGCTTTAAAAAAAGACTTGTTTCCTTAATTTTATTTCTAGTTTGTTCACTGCTCATTGATAGAAATACATTGGATTTTTATGTTAATCTTTGATTCTATGTCCTTGCTGAAATCATTAATTCAATTGTGTGTTGCAGGGGTGTGGTTGTGAGTAAATTACTTGGGTTTTTGTTTGTTTGTTTGTTTTTAACATAGAGGATCATGTCATCTGTGAGTAGAGAAGCTTTGTGTCTTCCTTTACCATCTGGATGTCTTGTATTTCATTTTTTTTTTTTAGCCTGCTTTCCCTGGTTGGAACTTCCAGGACACTGTTTAACAGAAGGGGTGAGAACAGATTTGTTTGTCTTGCTCCAGATCTTAGGGAGATTCTTTCCATGTTTCATCATTAGCTATTATATTAGTTGTAGATAGATTTCCTTTATCAAGGTTAGGATGTTTCCCTCAATTGTCACATTGTTAGATATTTTAATAATAAGATGAATATAGTTTTTTGTTAAATGCCTTTTCATCATTGTGATATGATCATGTGGCTTTTATCCATTGTTTTATTACTATAGTATACTACCTTTATTGTATAGGATTATTGAGTTTCTAATATTAAATTAACCTTTTTTCCCTAAAATAAATCTCACTTGTACATAATGTATAATCTTTTTTATATGGTGCTGGATTTAGTTTGTTTTGTTTTTAACATTTTGTTGAGTATTTTTCCTCTATATTTATGAAGAATATTGGCCTGTACTATTTTTTTTCCTGTGATGTCATTGTCAGGCTTTGGTATCAGGGCAACAGGAGCCTCAAAGAATATGCTTGGAAGTGTTAACTCTTATATATTTTGCAATAGTTTGCAGAGAAATAGTGTTTATATTTCTTTAATATTTGGGAGAATTCATCAGTGAAGCCTGCTGGGTCAGGGATTTTCTGTGTATGTGTGTGTGTGTGTGTAGCAGGAGGCTCTGGGTGGGTCGTTCTTTAATCCCTAATTCAGTCTACTTGTATGCTTACTTTTCACTTTTTCTATAGTTTCTTCAGTTTTGATAGTTGATTTTTTAATAAAATCAGTCCGTTTCATACATATTAGTTTGTTGGCATACAGTTATGTCTAGAGTTTCTTTATAATCCTTTTTGTTTCTATGAGGCTGGTAATAAAATCCCTTTCATTCTTGATTTAGTAATTTGTGTCTTCTCCCTTTTTCACTTTCTATTTCAAGATGAAGTTTTGCCAGTTTTCTTTATCTTTCAAAGAAACAACTTTTGATTTTGTTGATTTTCTTTATTGGTTTTCTACAATTTAGTTTATTTTTTAAACTAATATTCATTATTCATTTCTTTTTATATGCTTTGTCTTTATAGTGTTCCTCTTATTCTTCTCTTATTAGTTTTTTAATAAAAAATAGGTAGTTTAAGACATTTCTTCTTTTTGATACAGGAAATTATAGCTAGAAATTGGCTTCTAAGCACTGCTTTAGATGTATCTCGTAAATATTGGAATATTGTATTATGTTTTGGTTAGGAACAATTTTTCTTGTGATTTCTTATTAGATTCTTGTTTATTTAATAGTGTGCTATTTAATTTTCATTTATTTTTGAAACTTCCTAATTTCCAACAGTTATTAATTTTTAATTGTATTCCACTGTAGATAAAACATATACTTTATATAATTTCAATTATTTTAAATTTTTTCACCTTTCCCTATATTTTTTATCATTAAGATTCATGCATTCTAACATTTATACAGCCTTATGTACTGTTCAGCTGTGTCCCCCACACTGGAATACAGTAATGCATCATTTAATGTTGGGACTACATCTGAAAAAGGCATCATCAGAGAATTGCATTATTGTGCAAACATCATGGAGTGTGGTATACAAACTTAGACTGCATAGCCTGCTACACATCTAGGCTATATGGTATAGCCTAATACCCCTAGTCTACAAACCTGTACACCATGTTACTGCATTGAATAGTGTCGGCAATTCTAAAACATGGTTATTGGTATATCTAAACATATCTAAACATTAAATTGGCATATTGAATTAAGTCAATGAAATTTAAAGAATTAAAAGAGAGTATGTCTAAATTGTATGAGACCCCTGTTGTATGTGTGGTTTATCATTGACCTAAATGTCATTATGCGTGCATGAATGTATAAACTTCTGAAGGCACAAAATTTTTCTTGTCATTGTATTTTCACTATTTATAATATCACAAGGACCATGGAGGCAGCTCAAGAAAATACTAGTTTTGAGTAAATAATGTGGAAAGGGTATGGATCTCTTTTCAATGCATAATATCCAAGAATCAAATGAAAATATCCACCTTCCAAACACAAAAATCACAAAGGATTTAGTCTTAAGTCTCAATTTTGTAAGAAATTTTATAAATTTTTATCAATCTAAATTTAGCACTTTCCGAATGTTTGAATTCAACTATTACAATTTTAAAATAGAATATTTAATCTTTCCAGCTCTCCAGTAATTCAACTACCATGAAATCTATTCTTTCATCTGTTTATATGACACATTACTTGCTATGGAATTGTTATATCTGATACCTCTTGCTTCTTGTATTAAATTGTGGCATCCTTCCTTATTATCCCCGGTTTCTGATTTCAGCTTTGTGAGTCTCATCTCAAAGCTGGTAACTGATAGTAAAGTATCCTTCAATCTGTGTTTGACAGAGTTCATATAAGGCATTCCATGTAATTATCTGTGTGTCCAATATTCTAATAGTAATGTCACTCCCTCAGTTTTTTATGTTCACACCTAATTATTCCTAATTATTTATTCCACAAAATAAATATACTGAAAATAATACACAGTAAATCAACTAGTATACAATATTTTTCTAATAATTTGTGTATATTTGAAGATTATTGGACTATCAACTGTTTTTGTTTCGTTTTGTTTTCAGTTGATGCCAGTCATACTCTTAGGACTTGAGGAAATAAAAAAAAATAAATAATCTGTCATCAAGATTCTTTAGATGTATTAATTTGGGTACTAAAACTATAGATTTTCAAAAAGGAAATGAGGTAATTTTTAAAAATGGAAGATATAAAACTTTGCTCTTTTTCTTTGTAGCACTCATAATATTCATTCAATCTAGCTGAATGTTTATCAGTTTTATTAATCTTTCCAAAGAACAAACTTTTGGCATTGAGGATATTTCTGTGGTGTTTCTTTTATACTTATTTTGGTTCTAATTTAAAAATTATTGTTTTGCTTATATTGGATTTGCTTTTCTCATCTCAAGGAAGAACTTTAAGTCACTGATTTTAATTCTTTCTTGTATTCTAATATAAACTAATATTAAACTAATAAAATAGTATTAAATAATCCTTTGTCATAGAAACATGTAAAATTTTAATTTTCTTTCTAGGTGAATCTGAGTGAATCTTTATAGATTCAGCCAACAAATTTTGATAAGTTCCATTCTCATAATAATTCAGTTCAAAGTACTTATTCATTTTTCTAGTAATTTTTTACTAGACATATAATATTTCTAAGTGTGTGGTTCTGTTTTGAAATATCTGCAATTCCTAGATCCCTTATTACTATTGTTGTATTGTCATCCTATCTGTGGAAGAAAACATACTCTTTTAATTATTTAAATTGTAGTATTGACTTAATTCAAAACTCATGGTTTATCTGACACACAAACATTTTTCCCTTGAAAATAATGGGTATTTTTTATCTATTGTTTTGACAAGTACTGAGAGAAGGATTTTCAAAATATCAACTGTGGTTTGTTTTTGTCAATTCCTATCTCTAGTTCTGTTCACTTTGATTTATGAACTTAGATAAGACATGTTATTAAGAACATATTATTTTTATTTTATCCTTATAAATTGCTCATTTTTCCTTTAAGGCATTTCTCTATTTCTGGCAATAACATTTTATAAGAAGTCTATAGTTTCTGAAATTATTGGAGCCACTCCTTTATATGCTAACACTATGATCGATTGTTTATATTTTTAAATTTTCTCCATATTATGATGTGTTTACATCTTTTTTGACACAAAGGTTTTAATTAAATGAATAAACTTTTATACATACACACTAAAAATGACATCGGAGTTGGGATGTGATAACCCTAAACTTCAATATCCTTGCAATTAGAAAGAAAAAATACAGTCTAAAAGTACATGATTTATAGCAGCTTCTGGCCTAAACATGAAGATGAAGGGATTTAGAAATGATACAGAATTTATAATAAAGACACGTGAGTTAAAGTCTTATCATCCTTTATTGTTAGTTATATAACCTACAGTAAGTTATTTAACCTCATTGAAGTCTATTTACTTGTCTGAAAAAGGCAGTTAAGAATACCTGCTGTATTAGTCAGGGTTCTCTAGAGGGACAGAACTAATAGGATATCTACATACAAAGGGGTGTTCGTTAAATATGAATTTACACAATCACAGGGTCCCACAATAGGCTGTCTGCAAGCTGAGGAGCAAGGAGAGCCAGTACAATTCCCAAAACTGAAGAACGTGGAGTCCAGTGTTCAAGGGCAGGAAGCATCCAGAACGGGAGAAAGATGTAGGCTGGGAGGCCAGGCCAGTCTCTCTTTTTCACATTTTTCTGACTGTTTTATATTTGCTGGCAGCTGATTAGATGGTGCCCACTCAGATTAAGGGTGGCTCTGCCTTCCGCAGCCCACTGACTCAAATGTTAATCTCTTTCAGCAACACCATCACAGACACACCCAGGATCAATACTTTGTATCCTTCAATCCAATCAAGTTGACCCTCAGTATTAACCATCACAAGTCCACCCCTTGTCAACTTGAACCCATACACATCTCCTGAGATCATACATAATCTTCAATAAAGACAATAACAAGGTCATAATTACACTTAACATAGTACAACTATCCTTCGTACAGAAACGTACCAATCCCCAACCCAAATACTATTACATAGCTTTAACAGTACTAAAAGGCTTATATTGAAGTCCATAAATCTTACATCACGTGATAAAGGAAAAGGGAATAAAGATATTTTCTTAGTACAAGTGTATACATGCACAGACATGTTTTTAGCAAAAGAAGGTGGAGACACTCATGACAATTACAGTCTGCGTTCTGCAGCTGGTCACGTGGTCATAGCTGGTATTGATGACTACCTTTTTCTAATACCAATTCTTTATTCCCTTTGCCTTCAGCAAGCGCCTCAGCAAGTCATGGTTTTGTTTCCTGGTGGAGTGACCCACACCCTCATTCCTGAGGGGGTCTGGGCCATTTGTAGTCCTGCCTGGATTGAGCTGTTGTAGTTTCCCATTGACCTTAATCTCAGGGCATGGTAATACTAAGAGATGCCCTAAAAGATCTCCTGTGTTCCGTGTATTCTCTTCCTTACCTCCGTTATGGAGTAGTAGATTGATTTCATCTTGATAGTCCGGGTCAATCACCCCAGCCAACACTGTAACTCTCTTCTTAGCCTGTTGACTCAAAGGTAGGAGGAGCCCAAAGTGTCCAGGTGGCAATCTTAGCTGCCATTTTAATGGAATCATTCTTGTGTCTCCTGGTGGCAGTATTCCTCCCTCTAAACAGTTCTCACTGAGAAGAAAAGCTGCTCCTGCCAGAGCTAGTTAATTCTCAGAGACAGCAAAGGGCTCAACAGGAGCTTGCCTTTGATATGCCAAGTAACCAATCCAGATCCCTATCTTCTCTATCTGGATCTTATTCCCAAGTAGATAATATTCTTCTGTCTTAATCATCCCAGGGCAAGATACCAGGTAACTAGAAACTGTCCCTATAGCTTAGAGACGGCCAATATTGTTCAAATTAGCCAGTCCTAAACTGTTTGCTGTGCCATGCTTTTCCCTTGAAAACCACCATAAAGTGTTCTGTGAAGTGCTCACCCCTTCCACTTCCACTGGCTGACAGCCAGCGTGTTGCCTTGAGTAAGCCTGCATGGTATGGCATGCTTTCTGTTTTTTGGACCTGTGAGTATAATGAACTTTGTTTTCCTGAGCCTCCTCTGTGTTTCCGTGTGTATTCACATCTGACTGACCATGACATTAAAGAATGTTAAACACATGCTCTGTGTCATTTTAATGGATCTATTTTTCAATCTACCTAGTCAAAGTGCATCAATAGTGGACAGCTGGTTTTCTCCTGTTTCACCGTATTTGCATTTCAATTTTACCAGAATTGTTTTTCCTATGCTTAATGTAGACTTGGAGACTATGCACTGTATAGGTTTAAAAAAGTCTATGGTGGACACATAATAAAAGTCACAGCATTATTGCTCTGTGTCAGATTTTTCTCATATCATCTGTTGTACCCAATATACCTGTTTTTTCAGTTCCTAGAAATATTGATACCTTTATTTTTTTCTTCCTCTTTTACCAGTTTTTAAGCCATTTTTCATTAATTAATTATTAATTTAATATTTCAAGAAAAATTGGATTAACAAATCTAGGTAAAACTTACAATGTTACAATGTTCTTTTTGTTCTTCCTCTGGACATGGCAACCTTGAAGAAATTAAATATATATTAGTTTATTGAGTTCATGATTTGGGTGTCCTAGAAATATTTGGGTTCCTAAATCATGAAGAACATCAACTTTGTTATATTTTGTTATAGATAATACAGTAAATTATATATTATATATTATTATTATTAAGTGGGGAGTAGGGAAGCAAATTCTACTGATGAGAAAGAGCAAAATTAAAAATGTTAGAGTGAATCAAATTTTTAAGGATCATTCTAATATTTGAGTTTATTAAGATACCATATATATTTCATCACATATTTATATCATTTAGTTTTGCATCCCCAGCCAGATCTCAACTCAAATTGTAACCCCCAAGTGCTAAGGGAAGAACCTGGTGGGAGGTAATTGAATTATGGTGTCAGTTTTCCCCACTCTGTTCTTATGATAGTGAGCGAGTTCTCATGAGATCTGCTGGTTTGATAAGTGTCTGGCATTTCTCCTGCTGGCACTCATTCTCTCTCCTGCTGTCCTGTGAAGAGGTGCTTTCCACCATGATTGTAAGTTTTCTGAGGTCTCTCCAGCCATGCGGAACTGTGAGTCAATTTAACCTCTTTTCTTTATAAATTATCCAGTGTTGGCTATTTCTTCATAGCAGCATGAGAATGGACTAATATATATATCCTATACAAAATATAATTTTCAAATTAGAGAAGAAAATACATAGTTTAAAAATGTTTATCAGCCTGGACAACATAGGGAGACCCTGTCTCTACAGAAATATAAAAATAGAAAAATTAGTCCCAGCTACTGGAGAAGCTGAGGTGGAAGGATTAGCAGCCAGGAGTTTGAGGTTCCAGTGAGCTGTGATAATCCCACTGCACTTTAAGGTAGGTGACAAAGCAAGGCCCTATCTTAAAGATAAACAATAAAAAATAAATTAGAAGAACAAAGTTTATCATTTAATATATTTTATTTTAAAATAAAATAAAGCTGCTACTGGGGCCTAAACACTGAGCTAGAAATTGAATTTGTAGAGATGAATAATAATTCAGATTTCTTTGAAAAGCTAAGCGTTTAGTAATTGAATATTCAAAGATTTATTGAAAATGTTCTAGATGTTGCAGATGTTGAAAAGACCTCAAATTGCTTTTAAAACAAAAAATAAGTAACTAAAAATTTTATTTGTTTTATTTTTTAAACCTGGTCAGTATTTGATTTTTTAAAATCTTAGTCACTTATATCTACTGACTGTCAGACCACACATTTTTACAAATATAAGATAAATTTATATCAAGCAGTCTTGAGGTATCTTGCAGAACTATCTTCATCGTTAAAGATATAATTAGAAGAATAAATTAGTAAATTATGTGGAACGTTATCACTGTCTAAAAAAGCTAGAAATTGGTGAAGTATTTAAAAGTCAGTAAAAGGTTAATGGGAATTCTAATGTCCAATTAACATTTCTTTCAATTACAAAATTTCATTAATGTTACTCTGTATATGATTTATGGCCAGTGTACACAAATCTAAATTGCAATTGTTGAAAAAGTCTGATTAAAGGAAACAAGCTACTCTCATTCTTTTAAAGTAGATATATCACTAGCCAAAAGTTTCACTTATAAAAGACAGTCAATTTAAAATTACTTGCTTTATAATTTGAAAAAAATATATCTACTCAATTATATTACATTAAACAGAATATACAGAATATTCTTAAAAATTAATGTACAAATGCAAAACATAATATACTACTCTTTTTAAGAAAATTGCTGGCAAGATTTGTTATTCAATTCAGCATGTATTCCCTCCATAATATAAAAAAGTTTGCCATGACAATAAGAAGAGATGAATATTCTGTAGTCTTAGTTTAAGAATAAATTCCTAGTTTACAAAAGGTATAATGCCTACATTCTCTCACATACTAGCCACTAAACTTTGACTAAATAATTTGACATTTTTAATAGAATTAAAATACAGAATGCCTAATCAGAATTTTCCATTTAGAAAGTACTATTCTACTATGAGTGGATATTTTGGGTTGTTTTGAAGATCTAGTATTTTCAAGCCCCGAAGATATTTTAACATGTTATTTAGTTCTTCAGTATTTCCTACAAATAATATTATACTTGGAAAGTCAGCTGGTAGACAACCTGTAGGATATGCCTGGTGATTTCAAGCTCAAAAAAGTACATTTGCATAATACCTGAAGATTTAAAACTCAGTTGTGGTTTTTATTCTGGATATGATATTGATTTTTATATTCATTTATTTACGTAATTTTTATAATTTCAACTTTTATTTGAGATTTGGGGGGTAGCTGTGCAGATTTGTTACATAGGTATATTGCTTGGTGCTAAGGTTTGAGATACAATTGAACCTATCACCTGGGAAGTGAGCATAGTATCCAATAGTTAGTGCTTCTTTTCCTTCCTTCCTTCCTTCCCTCCTCCCTCCCTCTCTTTCTTCCTTCCTTCCTTCTTCCCTCCCTATCTTCCTCCTTCCCTCCCTCCCTCCTTTCTTTCTTTCCTTCCTTCCTTCTCTCTCCTTTCTTTCTCTTTCTTTCTTTCCTCCTTTCTTTCTTTCTTTCTTTCTTTCTTTCTTTCTTTCTTTCTTTCTTTCTTTCCTTCCTTCCTTCCTTCCTTCTTTTTCTTTCTTTACTTCTTTCCTTCTTTCTCTTTTCTTTCTTTCTTTCTGCTTTCTTTCACTAGTTCTTGCTCTGTCTCCCAGGCTCGAGTGCAGTGGCACAACCACTGCTCACTGCACTGTAGAATTCCTGAGCTCAAGTGATCCTCCTGCCTCAGCCTCTTGAGTAGTTAGGACTACAGGTGCCTTCCACAACACCCAGCTATTAAATTATTATTATTACTATTATTATTATTATTTTGTAGAGATGGGTTTTTACCATGTTGCCCAGGCTGTTCTCAAACTCCTGGATGCAAATGACTTCCCTGCCTAGACCTCCTAGAATGCTGAAGTTACTGTTGTGAGCCACTGTGCCTGGCCCAGCAGTTAGTTCTGCAGTCCTTTTTGCGCCTCCTTTCCTCTCCCTTCTAGTAGTCCCCAGTGTTTATTGTTGCCATCTTTATTTCCATGAGTACCAAATACTTAGCTCCCATGAGAAGTGAGAACATGTGGTATTTCTGTTCCTGTTTAATTTGGTTAGGATAATGACCTCCAGCACATCCATGCTGCTGCGAAGGACATGATTTCTTTCTTTTTTATGGCAGCATGGTATTGGGTGGTGTATATGTGCAATATTTTATTTATCCAATCTAAAATTACTGGGCACCTAAGCTGATTTCACATCTCTGCTATTGTGAATAGCAGTGCAATGAAGATACAAGTGTATATGCCTTTTGGTACAATGACTTATTTTCTTTTGGATATCTACCCAGCAGTGTGATTGCTGGATTAAATGGTAGTTCTCTTTTAAATCATTTGAGAAATCTTCAAACTGCTTTCCACAGTGGCCTATGGTTGCTATGTGAAGAAGTTCTATATATAGTTTTTGTTGAAATAAAAAGAAGAAGGAAAATTTATGTTTTTAAAATTATTTCCAGAACTACTAGTGGTGTTAAATCTGTTACATGGTGAAATTATGCTGATGGAGATGATTGTGTTTTTCATATGAATTTGATTGGTAAAATAAGATAATGTATTCCTGAATTAAAGAATGCTAAAAACACAATAATTTATTTTTTTAAAAAATAACTCCCATGTTATCAGAGGTAAAAAGGACACTGCGTAGTGATAAAGAAGTCAATTCTCCAAAAAGCCGTAACATTCCTTAAAATGTCTGCAGCTAAAAACACTATAAAAAAATGAGAAAACAATTGATAGAACAGCAAGGAGAAAAAAAATTCACTATCGTAGTTGGTGATTTAAACATCTATTATGCGTGGTCACATCCAAGAGGCAGAATATCAGGTAGGACATAGTTGAACTCAAAATCACCATCAATTAATTGGGAATAATCTATAACTATGGAATACTTTAATCAATAACCTCAGAATGTTACATATAACATTCACCAACATGGACCATATGCTGGGCCATAAAATACACATTAAATAATATAAATCATACAATGTCTGCTCTCAAAAAACAATAGAATTAAGCTAAAAATCAATAATTGAAATGTAGCTGAACATGTATAGCATTAAAAGCATATATTAGAAAAGAAATAAAAAACAACAAAAATCTTTAGTCTAAGCTTCTACCTTAGGAAACTAGAAAAAGAGTAAATACAAAATAAACAGAGAAAATAAAATAAAAATTAGAGTAATAGACAATGAGACTGAAAACAGAAAATCAATAAAGAACAACAAAAATCAACAACAAAAAGCTGTTTTCTTTTTTTTTTTTTTGAAAAGAGCAACAAAATCAATAAACGTTCATTCAAAATAACAATAAAAAAATGGGCTGAGTGCGGTGGCTCACGCCTGTAAATTCAGCACTTTGGGAGGCCAAAGTGGGTGGATCACCTGAGGTCAGGAGTTCAAGACCAGCCTGGCCAACATCATGAAATCCTGCCTCTACTAAAAATACAAAAATTAGCTGGGCATGATGGCGGGTGCCTGTAGTCCCAGCTATTCAGGAGGCTGAGGCAGGAGAATCACTTGAACCTGGGAGGCGGAGGTTGTAGTGAGCTGAGACAGTGCCACTGCACTCCAGCCTGGGCGACTGAGTGAAACTGTATTAAAAAAAAGAAAAAAAAAAAAAAGAAGAAAGAAAGAATAGAGGTGAACTTCCTCAACTTGATAAGGAATGTATACAAAAGACCTACAGCTAACATCATACTTAATGGTGATAAATTAGAAGCTTTCCCTGTAAGATTAGAAACAAGGCAAACATGTTTTTTTCTTGCCACCCTTTTGCAACATAATACTGGAAGTCCTAGCTAATGCAATAAGAAAAGGAAGAGAAACAAAGTGTATAGTGACTGGAAAAGAAAAAATAAAAGTGTATAGTGACTGGAAAATAAGAAATAAAGAAGTATATGTTCACAGATGACATGATTGTCTATTTAAAAAGAAATTTAAAATTTGAGAAAAATTCCTCTAACTTATTAGCAATTATAAGGGCCTAGCGTACAAGACAAATACATAAATTCAGTTAATTTCCTCTATACCAGCAATAAGCAAATGGAATTTGAAATTAAAAACAAAATACAGATTACATTAACACTTTCCAAAATGAAATATTTGTGTGTGATTCTAACAAAATATATAAAAATTTATATGAAGAAAACTACAAAACTTGGATGAAACAAATCAAATTAGGGTTAAATAAGTGGAAAGCTATTTCGTGCTTATGAATAGAAGGCTCCATATTAACAAGACACCAGTTCTCTCAACTTAATGTATAGATTGAATGCAATCTCAATGAAAATCCCAGCAAGTTATTTTGCAGATATTAATAAACTGAATCTAAACTTTACATGGAGAGGTGATAAGACCCATAATAGTGAAAACAATATTAAAGAATATGAACAAAGTTAGGGAACTTACACTATCTCATTTCAAGACTTACTTTATAATTTCACTAACGATGACAGTATAGCATTAGTGAAGGAATAGACAGATATATCAATGGAACAGACTGGAAAGTCCAGAAATAGACCCATAAATATAGTCAGCTGATCTTTGTCAAAAGAAAAAAGTAATGCAATGGAAAAAAGTGTTTTTAACAAATGGGAGATTTATGTGCAAAGCAAAAAAAATATATATATAATATATACACACACATGCCATTTACAAAAATTAACTTAAAATGTAATATAAAACTGAATGCAAAATGAAAAACTATAAAACACCTAGAATATAACATAAGTGGAAATATAAATAATCTTCGGTTTGGTGATAAATTTTTGGATATGACATCAAAGGCATAATACATTACAAAAAGATAAATGTATTTGATTAAAATAAAAAAAAATTATGCTCTCCGAAAGACATTATTAATGGAATGAAAAAGCTATTCACAAACTGGGAAAAATATTTGCAAAAAATCATATCTGATAAGAACTGTTGTGTAAAACACATCAAGAACTGTTATAACTCAATGAAAATACTGACACTTGATCATAAGTTGGGCAAAAGAACTGAAGACACCACACCAAGGAAAATGCACAGATTAGAAATAAGTACATGAACAGATGCTCCACATCATATATGACTAAGGAAATGCAAATTAAATCAACAATGAGTTATCGCTATGTATCAGAACAGCCAAAATTCACAACACTGACAAATCTAAATATTGGCGAGGATATGGAACAACAGGAACTCTCCTTGCTAGTGGCAGTGCCAAATGTGAGAGCCACTTGGGAAGACATTTGCCCTGTTTTTTACAAAACAAGCATACTCTTATCAGTTCATCCAGTAGTTATGCTCCTGGATATTTAACTGAAGGAATTGGAAACGTATGTCCACACGAACACCTGCACACAGATGTTTTTAATAACTTTATTCATAGTTTCCAAAACGTGGAAGTTACCAAGATGCCCCTCTATAGGTTAATGAATAAATAAAAAACTGTGATACATCCAGCTAATGTAATATTACTCAGGACTACAAAAAATAAGCTCTCAAGACACAGAAAGAAATGGAGGAAATTAAATATATATTACTAAGTGAAAGATGCCAATCTAAAAAAATGTGCACATTACACAATTCTAAAAATACGGCATTCTGGAAAACTAACTATGGAGAAAGTAAAAAGATCAGTTGTTGTGAGAAATTAGGAGAAACAAAGGGATGAATACGTAGAACACAGGAAAATTTTAGAGCAGTGAAAATAATCTATGATTCTATAATGCTGGATACATCTCATTATAAATGTATACAAACCCATAAAATGTGTTGCACCAATAGTGAACCCTAACATAAACTATGAGCTTTGGTTGATAATGATGCATCAATGTAGGATCATCAGCTGTTCCAAATGAACTACTTTACTGGGGGATGTTGATAATAGGAGAGGCTGTATGTGGTGGGGATGCAGGGAATATATAAGACACCTGTGTGTCTTCTTTACAGTTTTGCTGCAAATCTAAAAGTGCTCCAAAAATCAAATTCATTTTGAATTGTTTCTATATCCATGCCATACAACTTTACTAAATAAACTCACCACATTAATTACCATGTATAATATCAAGGAGAGCAACCCAGAGATGAGGAACATTTCACTTGGTGTATAAATGCATGTGCTTCAGACTCTGATAACACTTGGTTCAAAACCTTGCTCCCCACTTAATAAACTAAGTGAGTTATTTAACTCTTTTACTTTTATAGTATGAAAACACTAAGATATAAGCCATATTTGATGTGAAGAACAAATGAGATAATTCCACGTGGTGCGCCAAGTGCTTTGAATATTTTAAGAGCTAATTAAATGATACCTTGAATAAGTATTGTTATAAATAATTTTTCTTCAAATCTATTGCCTGAACATTGGTACTTAAGACAACTTTGTAAGATCTGAAATAATTATAAGTAGTGCAGAAAAGGGAAAAAAGGAATTATTATATAACTATGTTAAAAGGCCCTTGAAACCCATAAATAGAAACCAAAATATCTGGTCATTTATTTAATATTTTTATGTGGTAAAATTGTTACATTACTGAAGAATTTTCTTTTTAAATCTTGATTTTAAAATCTTACTTTAAACATATTTAAATGTAATCATTATCTTTTTAAATAGGAGTTGTTTTAAAATGTTAAGGAGTAGTGAAAATCATAGAGCACTGAAGATGTTTTGAGCTTTAGCTAAACCTCCTGCTTTGGTTAGAATAGCTCTGCTAGAGCCAAATGAGTATTTTTCCAGTCTGTTAAGAGTTGCTTGCTTACTAGTGAAATTTGAGTATTTTACATTTTCTGTATGTTAATTACCTACGTTTTCTAATTTTTCTCTAAAATTTGTACTTTCTTTGTATAAAAAGTGACATGTGTTTTTTAATCTTTTCTCTCTCTTCCTCTTTCCTTCTTTATTCTCTTTCACTCTCTTAGAAAAAAGGCAGAAATTTAATAAAAATTGATATGGTTTTTATAATTCACACTGAGCAACTTTAATTCTACAAATTTTAATTTACTCAACAAATCGTAAATGTGTGATTAAAGATAAGCTTCAAAACATTGAGGAAAAATTTTGGATATTATATATTCAACAAAGATCCTTTATCTGTATGTTGAGTGAAATAAATCACGTAAAATGGTTCTAAAATAGTATTTATAATACATGTAAACTTCTTTATATTATTTTATTGAAAAAATGTCTGGTAATGCTGTGATATTAATATAATCTGCTGGATACTAAAGGACCAGTGGGGATTTCACAGCAGGTCAGATCAAGGGATATGTGCAGAAGTTTAGAAAAGCCCAGTGATGCTTTAGTGTTTTCACAGATAAATATGAGAGTTGTACTTTCAACAAAGTTGAAGACTAAAGAGTTTTCTCTACTGCTACCAACAATCAATTTCACAGAATTAAGTGGCAAAATTCGAATGAAATTGACTTGAAAAGCAACTGCAAAATAAGAAATTGGATACCGTAAGTGAAGACATCACTTCTGAGATTCTCTCTCTTTTTTTTTTTTTTTTTTTGTTTATGTGAATGGGTTAATCAGAGATAAAGCCATAGCAGCAAGGGCAAGTGGGTTTCAGAAAAAACTTACTTTTTAAGATAGAGTATATTTGAACATATTTAAATGCTAAAGAGATAAATCCTCAGTAAGAAGCAGGGTTGAAAATAAAGAAGAGAGAACTGTGATTAATAATTTAAACAGTTGAAGCAAATGGAAAGTAAAATGTAAATCACAGCTGAGAAATTGCCTCCAATCAGGAATAAAAAGCATTTTTAATAGGATGGGAGAGGTAGAGCATGGGAACAGATTGTGGTGTGTTTGAAGGATTTAATGGAAAGATGAGGTGTTTCAAATACTTCTATACTTTCTGAAATAGAAAATAACATCTACTGACATTGAGAGTGCAGGAAGGCTGTGAATCTTGAGGACAATAAAGAAAGTTTAACATTGTAATTGCAGGGAGAGGTAGAGTATGGCTAAAAATTGAAGTGGCGAGGGTGAAGTGGAGAGCTGAAGAGGTCGTATGTACCTGAACTCAATAGTTTTCTTGGTAGAGAAAGAAGTCAAACACATCTAGAAAATGTCAATTTGATTTCAAGACTTGGCTTAAATATTACCTTTAACTTCTTTATATTTTCCAACTCTTATATAAAAAAACTACGTTTTCTGGATAGCATATATCTTGGCAATATGTATATTTATCATCTAAATCAAATTGTATGAAATATTACTGTGTATATGTAATCCTTTAAGTTCTCAGTTTCAAAAACAACATTCATCATTCAACTTTACAACCATGTAACAGGTAGCTCATTATTTGAAATAAAGTTAACTCTCACTAGCTTATAAGCTCTTGGATAGGTGAAATGTTCTTAGAGAACAGATTGTCTTTTGTCCTACAATTTGCTTTATTAGCATAATGGCTTAATGAATGACATACAGAAGAATAGACACACATACACACATTCACACCCACACTCAAACTCCTAAATGGAGGACACACGCTGATCCTCTAATTGCCACCACTTCAGAATCCTTACACTTTTTATTCTGTTTGGTATCTGCTTTGGTTGGGTTGACCTTCTTTACTTACTATTAATCTGCCTCTCTACAACTACTTTTTAAATTATCATTGACCTTTTTTGTTTTGCTTTTTGTCCTGAGAATGTTGTCTATGACTTATTCATCAGGAATAAAAAGACGTTCAAAATTTCATCTTCTCCCCTTCCAAATATAGATGAAATGTTTAAGCTGCAGCATCAGTGAATTTTGTTCAAATTGTCTTACTGTATTTTTTCCTTGCACATGGCTCACTTTAAACTAGCATATAATCCACTCTAGACTTTCCTAATTCTCTCCAACTGTGTTAAAATAAAGAGCTCTGATCTAGTGGCTGTCCAAAGAGAGTAACTGTGAATTCACAGTTGCTTGTAGAGTTTGTTTGTATTTTCTTGGGAAATTGGACTGGGGGAATGAAGGAATAGGTGCCCTTTCTTTTAGTTGACATAATACTGCAATTCTAATAAATAATCACTGACCTTAGTCATAGAGTGTTTTGAAATTTGAACTATTCCCTGGCCTCCAAAAGTTTATATTTTGGGGTTTATCAATAGTAAAATCTATGATAATAACTTTCAGATGATAATACCACCAGAAAGTCTGTGATTGATAATCTTATTTCTGGGTAATATTTGTAAATCTGTATGTATTTCTGATTCTACATATGTTTATTTATGTAAATATTAAAAGTGACAATTATAAATAGAATGTTCATATCATACAGAAAATCCTAAAATTTCTTGAATGTTGAAGAATCTGAAAAATGTAACTCTATTATCTGCTTCTATTGATTTCTTTAAATTTTTAGTTTCCCACATAAAATGTGGTGCCTCAATTTGAGAACATAACAGTATAAGAAGCATGACATTTCAGATTATCATCCCACAAGTTTTTCCTCTGTTTTTGTATTTGTGAATGGCATGTTATTGGGTTGTGTAGTTAAAATGCACAAAATCATACTGACAATATAAATGTATTTGCTTTAATGGGGTGATTGCATATTGACATTGCACCTGGTCGACCCTGCACCTGGTCTTCTGTCTGAGAGGTGGTGTGCAGATCTTCGTGAAGACCCTCACTGGCAAGACTGTCACCCTGGAGGTAGACAGTGACATCATTGAAAATGTGAAACCAAGATCCAGGATAAAGAAGACATCCTCCAGACCAGCAGAGGCTCATCTTCACAGGCAAGCAGCTGGAAGATGTCCACACTCTTTCTGACTATAAAATCCAGAAAGTGTCGACCCTGCACCTGGTCCTGCATCTGAGGGGTGGCTGTTAATTCTTCAGCCTTGCATTCGCAGTGCCCAGGGACAGCATTACTCTGCACTATAGCCATTTGCCCCAATTTAAGTTTAGAAATCACCAGTTACAGTAACCGCTGAACCTGTTTGAAATGCTAATAAATGTTTTGTTGCATGATAGCATAAGAACAAGCAATGTCAATATGCAAGCAACTACATTAAAACAAATACATTCATATTGTAACATACTTTAAAATACATGTTTTACATATACCATACAAATATTGATTTAGTCTACAATACTGCATTTAAAATGATAATTGATACTGATCTTAGAGGAAAAGCTTTCAACTTTTTGCCATTGAGTATGATGTTAGCTGGGGGTTTGTCATATATGCCCACTCTGACAACTTCTAGTCAGCAAAGTACTAGAAAGCCTAGCCAGAAGAGTTAGGCTAGAAAATTGAAAAATGCAACGCAAATAGAAAAGAAGTGAAATTGTGTCTGTTTGCTGATGACATAATCTAATATATAGAAAATTCTAAAGACTTCACCAAAAATACTGTTAGAAGAAATAAGCCAGTTCTGTAATGTATCAAGATACAAGATCAATATGTAAAAAGTCTGTAGTGATTCAACATACTATGAACTATTCACAAATGAAATTAAGAAAACAATACCACTTATAAAAGTATCAAAAATAGCAGTAATTTTAATCAAAATTGTGAAAGATCAATATACTGTAAGCTATAGAACACTGATTTAAAAATGATGATAACACAAATAAAATGATATTCCTTATTAATGGATTAGAAGAATCAGTATTGATAAAATATTTATAGTACCCAAGGCAGTTTACAGATTCAATGAAATCTCTATCAAAATGATAATGCTGTTTTTCACAGGAATATAATAAAAAATCATAAAATTTAAATGGAACCACGAAAGACACCAAATAGCCAAAGAAATATTGAGTAAAACATAAAAAAATAAAAAAAAAGAAAAACAAAGCTGGAAGCATTACAATCCCTCATTTCAAAATATAAGGCTATTTTAATCAAAATAGCATGTAGTGGTGTAAAACCAGGAAGATTGACCAATGGAACAGCAATGAAAGCCCATAAATATACCCACACATTTACAGTCAATTAATTGTTGACAAAAGTGGCAAAAACACACAATGAGGAAAGAATAGTCTTTTCAATAAATGGTATAGAGAAAATTGGATAAACAAATGCAGAAGTATGAAATTTGAAGTTATCTCACACCACATTTAAAAAATCACCTCAAAATGAATTAAACAATTAAAAATAAGATCTGAAACTGTAAAATTACTGTAATAAAACAGAGAACAATCTCCATGACATTGGTGTGGGCAATGATTTCTTGGATAAGACCCCAAAAGTATAGGCAACAAAAGCAGCAATAGATAAATAGGATTACACCAAATTAAAAGTCTTTTGCACAGCAAAGGGAACAATTAACAAGGTGAAGGGATAATCCATAAAGTGGGAGTAATATTTGCACACTATACATCTCATAAAAAGCTAATATTCAAAATATATAAGGAACTCAAACAACAATTGCAAGAAAACAAATAACCCGTTTAAAAAATGAGCAAAGGAACCAAACAAACACTTCTAAAATAAAGACCAACTAGGAGACAACAGGTATCTGAAAAAGTGCTGAACATCTGTCAACCATCAGAGAAATTGAAATTGAAACCACAATGAGATGTCACCTCACATGAGATTGAACAGCTATTACCAAAAGAGAAAAAGGAACAATTGGTGAGGATGAGGAGAAAATTAAACCTTAGTAATTGTTAATAGGAATGTAAATTAATACAGCCATTTAAAACAACAGTATGGGCCAGACACGGTGGCTCACACCTGTAATCCCAGGACTTTGGTAGGCCAGGGCGGGCGGATCACTTGAGGCCAGGAGTTTGAGACCAGCATGGCCAACATAGCGAAACCCTCTCTCTACTAAAACTACAAAAATTAGCCTGGCGTGGTGGGGTGTGCCTGTAATCCCAGCTACTCAGGAGACTGAGTCAGGAGAATCACTTGAACCAGAAGGTAGAGGTTGCAGTGAGCAGAGATTGCACCGCTACATGTCAGCTAGGGCAAGAGAGCGAGACTCCACCTAAAAATAAACAAGCAAACAAACAAAAACCAGAATAGAGGTTCCATTTGGGGTATATACACAAAAGAATTGAAGGCAGTATGTCAAGGAGATATCTGCACTCTCATATCCATTGCAGCACTATACACAATAATCTAAATATGGACAAGCTAAGTGTTCATTAATAGATGAATAGATAAATAATATATATGTAATATTATGTATATTGTAATGTATTGTTATGTAACATTATATCCCCTTAAAAAAGAGACTTCTACTATGTGCAACAACATGAGTGAACCTGGAGGACATTATGCAAGATGAAAGAAGCCTAGAAAGGAAGGAAAAATAATACATAATTTCAGTTATATGTGGAGTCTAAAAAAGTTAAACTCATAGATACATGAGTAGAATGGTGGTTACCAGACATAAGGCAAGAAGAGATGTTGTTCAAAGGGTATGAAGTTTCAGTTGTTCAGAAGAAATAAATTTTGGTGATTTATTGCACAGCATGGTGAGCATAGTTAATAACAATAATATTGTGTATTTCAAAATCTCTAAAAGAGTAGATTTAAAATACATTCACCCAAAAAATAAGTAGGTGCAATTATGGTTATGATAATTATCTTGGTTTATGATTTCTACAATATACACATATATCAACATATTACATTTTACCCCATAATTATATACAAATATTAATTGTGAATTAATATTTTTAAAAAGAAAAAACAGACAAACACAGCAAGGAGAATGTCATGTCAAGTCTTACACAGATGCACAGAGTAAACATATATGATGATGAGTCAGAGATTAGAGTGATGCAGCCCTAAACCTATAAATCTATAATCTGTATTTCTTTATAAATCTATATAAGTCCTTATACATCTATGAGGGAGCACCAAAGATTTCTGACAATCACCGGAAGCTAAGAAGAGGCAAAAAATATTCTCCCCTGGACGGTTGAGAAAGAGCATAGACCTGCTGACAATTCCACCTTTGATTTCTAGCCTCTAGAAGTGCAAGAAAATAAATTTCTGCTGTTTTGAGTCAAAACCAAAAAGACAGTAAGGGTCTATGAGACTTTCTTTCAAAGTCAGGATTACTATTTATTGTTAATAACAATTATTATCATACATTGAGACATATTTCTGGACTTTAAAACTTCTAAATTTTATCCTCCAAACAATTATAAATGAATGAAGGAATCGTGTTTTAGGGTATACACACGTATGTCAAGCAAAACCAATTTGTACAGAAAATCCAATAAATACATTAGTATGTTTACTATGGAGTTATATATATTGAGATATAATATATTATATTCCAGAGAATAAGCACAATCATTTTGTGAAGTGAGGAGACTTCTGTAGATATAAATATTGCCCACCTTCCCAGCTTATATAGATTAGGGCTGCTATCCTCCTTTTGTTCCAAAACTACTTGGAACCAGCCTTGCTGAAAGCAATAGCTCCTTGATCCCTTCTCTGATTCCAATCCTGGCTTTAAAATTGCTGAAAGCATTTTAAAGCCCTTGCTTTCAGGTGTGTTTTTTTTTTTTATATTCAATGTAAAGTAAATAATTTATTTTCATAGTTAAAATAATATATTTTAAATAGTATTTTCCAAACCTTTGTGACATTATCACATATGTGGTTTTTATCATGGAATCTCTAGAGTTTAATTTGGCAACCTAAGTATTTTTCCAAAAAAAAAAAGCCTAAAGAAATTATTAATTTCTTACTTAAATCTAAATTTTTACTTAAATCTAAATTCTGATTTTTTTGTAGTTGCTTGAAAATATGAGTGAGTATCTGCGGAATTAACATAAGAAGTTGATGTTTAATACACGCTGAGGTCTTGTGAGTACAATTATCTTTTACAACTATATGAAATGGTATTTGCTCAAGCTGTAAGGCAAAGCCCAAGGATAAGTAACATATAAATAGTAAAAGATGAGAGACTGGAAATAAAACATTGCAATACTCTGCCATTCTAAGGAGATGCTAAAGTTTTGTACATTTGCCTAAGAATTGCAAATGTGAGGGAATTCTTCTTATTATTTTTTTACAGAGGACCTACAGGGAACTTTATGTAGACACTTCTGTCTTCACTGGGGCACTGCCCATCAGGAAGACCAGGTTGGCTCCTGGCACGGAGATCCTTCATCTCCTCGGCTACCTGTGTCATAGCCAGCAGGCCAAAGTGGGTGACTGGGGTTTTGGCTCAAGATTGACCCCGGGTGCCCAGCTGGGATCCCCTCAGTCCCAAGTAGGAAGATTGGCTGCTTCTCCACAGTTCATAGGCTTACAGTTTAAGACTTTCAGTCCGGCCCAGCTGGGAGAACACATGCCAAACAGCCCTGACCCAGCAGGCTGGGAGCTGCCTCCTCTCCAAAAGTCTGGCTGCCAGGTAACACCCTCCTCCTTCTTGGGGAGGGTTTTTTCCCTGTGAGCTTGGGCAGGAACCAAAACAGTTTCGCTCTTTCAAGGGTATTATTGAATGTACCAAAATAGGGACTTAAAGTTAAATCATATACATGCATATCCTCAGAATGAATTGGAAATAGTTTCAGTGCAATGAGATTTCAAAGCAAATTTAAATACATTTTTATTTTATAAGTATCTCCATTTATTCTTTCAAATACAAGGTTAAATAATTGCTATATTCCTGTTTCTACAAGACTCAGAAATATTACAGATTTTACTGTATTTAAGCCATTATGTACTATACTGTAAAATGGTGAAAATGCCATAGATTTGTCATGAAGTTTATAATCTACCAAATGTGAGGCATGTGCCAAATCAATATTGTAGAAGATACAAACATTCATTTCCTGGCTTCGCAAAAGAATGGATGTTTAATCTCATTAAGATTATATACTCAGACTCTAGAAGATTGGAGACTTGGAAGAGATAGGAATAGTGCACTGATGCTGGATAAAGACAGTTAGATTAGAAAATGGGAAACAGCATGGGTATACACACACACAGAGGTTAAACAAAAATTGTGTAGGATAAACCAGTAGTAATGAAAGGATAGAGAAAAAAATTGACTAATGTTATGCACCTAGTTTGGTGATTATGCTGACTATACCATAACTAGAGGAATGGCGGATGGCTGTTTTTCTATGTAATTGTAAAAATAGTATGACTCATTTTTTTGATGTTGACTTCTACAGCTTTTTAAAAAAATTTATTTTAAGTTCTGGGTTACATGTGCAGAACGTGCATGTTTGTTGCACAGGTATATGTGTGCCATGGTCGTTTCCTGCACCTATCAACCCATCATCTAGGTTTTAAGCCCCGCATGCATTACGTATTTGTACCGATGCTCTCCCTCCCCTTGCCCCCCATCCCCCGACAGGCCCCGGTGTGTGATGTTCCCCTCTCCATGTACATGTGTTCTCATTGTTCAGCTCCCACTTATGGGTGAGAACATGTAGTGTTTGGTTTTCTGTTCCTGTGTTAGTTTGCTGAGAATGATGGCTTCCAGCTTCATCCATGTCCCTGCAAAGGACATGAATTCATTCTTTTTTATGGCTGCATATTATTCGATGGTGTATATGTGCCACATTTTCTTTATCCAGTCCATCATTGATGGGCATTTGGGTTGGTTCCAAGTCTTTGCTATTGTAAATAGTGCTGCAGTAAACATACATATGCATGTGTCTTTATAGAAGAATAATTCATAATCCTTTGGGTATATATCCAGTAATGTGATTGCTGTGTCAAATGGTATTTCTGGTTCTAGATATTTGAAAAATTGCCACACTGGCTTCCACAGTGGTTGAACTAATTTACACTCCCACCAACAATGTAAAAGCCTTCCTATTTCTCCACAGCCTAGCCAGCATCTGTTGTTTCCTGACATTTTAATAAGACTTATACAGCTTTTAAGCTTAATCCACCTCTGTGTCCCTCCTGCATAGCACCTGAGCAAGCTAGTAAGAGATCTCGGCTGCTCATTCCTTGGTGCGGGTGGGAGATTAAGACTAGCAACAAACAACAGTAAACTGCTGTTGACGTGCAAAATTTCACTGAACTACCTGGGTATTTGAGCAAACCCTTTGTTATACTAGGCAAATGCAAAACAATTCTCAATCACTGTGTGTGAAAACAATGGACAAAATTTCAGTGTGACTTGGACAATTTTGTGGAGAAAACATGATCTAATGGACACATATGTAACACTGTACAAAACAACTGAGGAATCTGTCCACCAAAAATCATACATAATTTATCAAAATTAAGAATAGAAAGAGGAGTGAGAAGCTTAGGAATATGTCCTATGGATATCACTAAAACTTACTGAGAGAACAAAATCAACATTCTCCAACTAAATATGAACTTTTTATTTTAAAAATTCAGAAGTTTCTTTGAAAAATGCCACATAATTTGACACAGCTAGAAATAGAAAATTTGAATACTTATGTATTTACTGAATATATGTAATCAATGATTAGAACATTCTCACAAAGAAACTTCAAGACTGAATCACATAATAGCTAAATCTTAACAAACATTGAATGTGGTTAAGTAAAGCCAACTTTACTCAAATTATTTCAACTAAGATTTTAAAAAATATTCTAGTATATATTTGGGATTGAAAGGAGTTATCAGGAAAGGAGAAATTAGATGCTAATTTCACACACAGGTATACAAATGCAAAAATTCCACCATAAAATATTATCAAGCTGAATTTAATAATGTAATTAAAGAAGACTATATAACATTCTTAAGATTAATTTAAGTAATTTAAACAGTAGGCTATAAAATTTTAAATAATAGTAAAAATATCATCCAAGAAATAAAGTATATATGACTAAATATTAAACGATTCATGGGGCCGGGAGCAGTGGCTCACGCCTATAATCCCAGAACCTTGGGAGGCCAAGCGGGTTGGATCACCTGAGGTCAAGAGTTTGAGACCAGCCTGGCCAACCTGGTGAAATCTCGTCTCTGCTAAAAATATAAAAATTAGCTGGTTGTAGTGGTGGATGCCTGTAATCCCATCTACTTGGGAGGCTGAGGCAGGAGAAACACTTGAACCAGGGAGGCGGAGGTTGCAGTGAGCCAAGACAGCGCCATTGCACTCCAGCCTGCGTGACAGAGTGAGACTCTGTCTCAAAAACAACAAAGAAAAAAGATTCACAAGACAATGATACAGACATCTATAGAGTATTGAGAGAAATGCACAACTTCATAAATAATTATAAGATATACCATATTTGTGAAACTTCAAATGCATTCTCCATAAAATTATGGGAAAACTGTTTCTATTTTCACTATTTTATTCATCATTTCAGAATTTTTAATAATATTAAAAATTAAAATATGTAGTAATAAGTATTAAAAACAACATAACAACACAAAAATCCACAGAATTCTACACAATAAACTATAAAATATTATTAAGAGAAATTATGGAAGTGATAAATAGATGGAAGTATGCATTATGTTCATGGCCTAGAAAACTCAATCATGCAAATGTGTTAATTTAGTAAAATTTCAATCAAAATTTTATTTGATGTTTTCACATTAAATAACAAAACATTTCATAACACATTTAACATTGCCAAGATGAACTGACAGCCAAGAAAAGATAAGAGAATTTATCTACCAATTATCAAGATTTAATATAAACAGCAGTAATTAAGACATGCTGATAGTTTCAGAGAAATGAATAGAGTAATGAAAAAATTAAGTCAAGAAATTGATTAAACCATGTAATGATAATTAATAGAATAGAGGTGTCATTGAAGGCTGATTAGAAAAAGATTTGATTCTTCAATAAATGGCCATGAATAAATTTGTTATCTGTAAAGAAATATAAATTGCATGGAAATGTAGTTGAGACTATGTAACAAAATATTAATAGGTTTCAGTGTAAATAGCAACATAAAATCTGGATCTAGACTGTCTGCACTAAACAAGTTATTTAAAAATTTCTTACAACAATGCCTTCCACAATGTAGGAACTTTTTTTGAGGTCAATAATTTATATTGAAGAATATTGTTTGAGTATAGAATGACTTCTTCACAGAAGAAAAAGAGCCAATCACATATTTTAGGTAGAATGAACTGTATTACGTAAGTTATCTCTATCAAAGTGCATCATAAGAGAAAGACAAAATCCCCACATGTGTAACTTACAAAGGAGTAGTATCCAGAATATGTAAATTATACATAGATATTTACAAAAAATGTTGGATATAAACAAAATGCATTCCCCCCAAAAAAATAGAGTGGGTTATAAAATGGAGGTTTTTGTTTTTAATTTTTTTGGGTATATAGTAAGTGCATATATTTATGAGATACATGAGATGATTTGATGTTGGTAACCAATGCATAGTAATCACATCATGGAAAATGGGGTATTTATCCCTTCAAGTATTAATCCTTTCTGTTACAAACAATCTAATTATTCTTTTAGTTATTTTTAAATACATAATTACATTAAAATTGACTATACCATCCTGTTGTGCTATCAAATAATAGGTCTTATTCTTACTATTTGTGCCCATTAACTATCGCTGCCACTCCACTCCAACCCACAATTACCCTTCCCAGCCTCCTGTAACTATCCTTCTACTCTCTGTTTCCATGAGTTAATTGTTTTGATTTTTAGATCCCACAAATAAGTGAGAACATGTGACGTTTGTCTCTCTGTGTCT
The DNA here is from genome assembly GCF_000001405.40 of Homo sapiens. Lineage (NCBI taxonomy): Eukaryota > Metazoa > Chordata > Mammalia > Primates > Hominidae > Homo > Homo sapiens. The sequence goes on from NC_000013.11 coordinate 87,228,035, forward strand.
TGCTTATTTCACTTTATATAATGCACCTCCATTTTCATCCATGTTGTTGCAAATAATCAGGATCTCATTCTTTTTTATTACTAAATAGTACTCCATTGTATATAGGTACATTTTCTTTATCCATTCGTTTGTTGGTGGTCAAATCTAAGCTCCCAAATCTTGGCTATTGTGAACAATGCTGCAACAAACATGGGAGTGGAGATAGCTCTTCAATATACTGATTTATTTTCTATTGAGTATATACCCAGCAGTAGGATTGCTAGATCATATGGTTGCTCTGTTTTTAGTTTGTTGAGAAGGAAACCTCTAAGCTTTTCTCCATAGTGGTTGCAATAATTTACATTTCCACCAACAGCATAAAATGGTTCCCTTTTCTTCACATCCTCACCAGGATTTGTTATTGCCTATCTTTTGTATATAAGTCATTTTAACTTGGGTGAGATGACATCTCATGGTAGTTTTGATCTGCATTTTTCTAATGATCAATGCACCTTTTCATAGGCCTGTTTTCCATTTGTTTGTCTTCTATTGAGAAATATCTAATTCAAATAGCTCACCCATTTTTGATCGAATTATTAGATTTTTTTCTCCTATAAAGTTGTTTAAGTTTCTTTTGTATTCCGCTTATTAATCCCTTGTCAAATGGGTAGTTTGAAAATGTTCTCTCCCATTCTATGGGTTTTCTGTTTACTTTTGGATTGTTTCCTTTGCTGGGCATAATCTTATTAACTTGATGTGACCGCATTTGTCAATTTTTTCTTCGGTTGTCTGTTCTTTTGGAGTATTACCCAATAATTTTTTCCCCAGGCCAAAGTCCTGGAGAGTTTTTGCAATGTCTTCTTATAGTAGTTTCATGGTTTGAAGTACTAGATTTAAGTCTTTAATATATTTTTGGTTGATTTTTGTTTATGATGAGAGATAGCATCATTTATTGAAGAGATCATCTTTTCCCCAATGTATGTTGTTGGCACCTTGGTTGAAAATGAATTCACTGTAAGTGTGTGGGTTTGTTTCTGAGTCCTCTACTCTGATACATTGGCCTATGTGTCTGTTTTTATGCCAATACATGCTGTTTTGGTTACTATATCTCTGTAGAATAATTTGAAGTCAGGTAGTGTGATTCCTCAAGTATTGTGCTATTCATTTAAGATAGCTTTGGCTATAAAGTTAAGGATTTTTTTTCTATTTCTGTGGAGAATGTAATTGGTATTTTGATAGGTATTGCATTGAATGTGTATATCTTTTTGGATAGCATGGACATTTTAACAACATAGGTTCTTTCAATCCATGAGAACGGAATATTTTTTCACTTTTCTGTGTCCTCTACAATTTCTGTCATCAGTGTTTTATAGTTTTCATTATAAAGATCTTTCACTTCTTTGGTTAAGTTAATTCTTAGGTATTTAGTTTTTTGTGGCTATTTTAAATAGGACTAACATTTTTATTTCTTTTTCAGATCATTCAACGTTTACATATAGAAACACTACTGATTTTTGTATGGTGATTTTATTTGCTGCAACTAACTGAATATGTTTATCATTTCTAACAGTTTTTTCTGGAGTATTTAGATTTTTACAAATATACAATCATATCATCAGCAAACAAGTATAATTTGACTTCTTTCTTTCCAATTTTGATTCTTTTTTTTTTCTTGTCTGATTGCTCTAGCTAGGACTTTCAGTATCGTGTTGAATAACAGTAGTGAAAGTGGTCATTCATGTTGTGTTCCAGATATTAGGAGAAAGGCTTTCATTTTCTCCCATTTCAGTATGATACTACTTGTTGATCTGTAATATATGACTTTTATTATATTAAGTTATATATCTTTTATACCCAGTTTTGGGGGGTATAAAACGGATGGGGAATTTTATCAAATGCTTTTTCAGCATCAATTGAATATCATATGGTTTTCATCTTTCATTCTGTTGATACGATTTAACATGTGGGTTGATTTGTATATGTTGAACCCTTCTTGCATATCAGAGATAAATTAGACCTGGTCAAGATGAATTATCTTTTTAATGTATTGTTGAATTTGGTTTGCTATTATTCTGTTAAGAATTTTTGCACCAACATTCATCAATGATATTGGCCCATAGTTTTCTTTCTTTCTTCCTGTTCCTGCCTTCCTTCTTGTCTGCCTTTTCTTTCTTTCTTTCTTTCTTTCTTTCTTTCTTTCTTTCTTTCTTTCTTTCTTTCCTTTCTTTCTTTCTTTCTTTCTTTCTTTCTTTCTTTTTCTTTCTTTCTCTTTCTTCCTTTCTAACTTTCTTTCTTTCTCTTTCTTTCTTTTCTTTCTTTCTTTCTTTCTTTCTTTCTTTCTTTCTTTCTTTCTTTCTTTCTTTCTTTCTCTTTCTCTCTTTCTCAGTCTCTCCCTTCCTTCCTTCCTTCCTTCCTTCCTTCCTTCCTTCCTTCCTTTCTTCCTTCCTTCCTTCCTTCCTTCCATTCTTCCTTCCTTCCTTTCTGTCCTTCTCTCTTTCTGTTTCTAGCTTTTTGGCTTTTTTGCTTTTTCTTTCTTGCTTTCTTTTTTTTGATGTATCTTTGTGTGGTTTTGGTATCAGGATAATACTGGCCTTATAGAATAAGTTTAAAATATTTATTTATTGTCTATTTTTTGGAATAGTTTGAATAGGATTGGTATTAGTTCTTCTTTAAATGTTTCATAGAATTCAGCAGTGAAGCCATAGAGTCCCTGGCTTTTCATTACTGAAAGGCTTTTTATCACCGCTTCTATCTCGTTGCTTGTTATTGGTCTGTTCAAGTTTTGGATTTCTTCCTGGTTCAATCTTGGTAGGTTGTATATGTCTAGCAATTTGTTCATTTCTTTTAGATTTTACAATGTATTAGCACACAGCTGCTCATAGGAGCCACTAATGCGCCTTTGAATTTCTTCAGTGCCAGTTACAATGTGTCCTTTTTCAACTCATCTTACTTATTTGGGCCTTCTCTCTTTTCTTCTTAGTTAGTCTGTAGTCTGGCTAAATGTTTGTCAATACTGTTTAACTTTTCAAAAAAAACTACTTGTTTCATTGATCTTTTTGAATTGTTTTCTTCATTTCAATTTCATTTATTTCTGCTCTGCTCTTTATCATTTCTTTTCTTCTGCTAATTTTGGGTTTAGTTTGCTCTTCCTTTTCTAGTTCTTTAAGTTGCATTATTAAATTATGTATTTGAAGTTTTTCTTCTTTTTGATGTAGGTACTTATAGCTATAAGCTTCCCTCTGAGTACTGCTTTTGCCGTATCCAATAGGTTTTGGTATGTTGTGTTTCCATTACCATTTGTTTCAAGAAATTCTTCAATTTCCTTCTTAATACCTTCATGGACCCACTGGTCATTAAATGGCATCCTGTTCGATTTTCATAAATTTGTATACTTCCCAAAATTCCTCTTAGTATTCATTTCTAGTTTTATTCCATTATTGTCTGAGAGGATGTTTGTTATAATTTCAATTTCTTGAATGTTTTTAGATGTTTTTTGTGACCAAACATATCATCTATATTTGAGAATAATCCATGTGCTAAGGAAAAGAATATGCATTCTGCACCCATTTGAATAAAATGTTCTGTAAATATCTATTAGATTCATGTGTTCTATAGTGCCGATTAAATTCCATGTTTCTTTGTTGATTTTCTGTTTGGAAGATCTATCCAATGTGAAAAGTGAGGTGTTGAAGTCTCCAGTTATTATTGTATTGAAACCTATCTCTCGCTTTAGCTCTAATAATATTTACTTTATATGTTAGGATGCTCCAATGATAGGTGCATATGTATGTACAATAGTTATAGTCTATTCCCGAATTGACACCTTTATCAGTTTATAGTGACCTTCTTGTCTCTTCTTATAGTTTTTATCTTGAAATCTATTTTGTATGATGTAAGTATAGCTACTCCTGCTCTTTTGGGTTTCTATTGATAATGGAATATCTTTTGCCATCTCATTATTTTCAGTCTATGTGTATCTTTATAGGTGAAGTGTGTTTCTTGTATGTAACAGGCATTGGGTCTTTTTATTTTTCCATTCACTCTATGTCTTTTGATTGGAGAGTTTAGCTCATTTATATTCAATGATATTATTGGTATGTAAGAACTTACTACTGCTATTTTATTTGTTTTCTGTTTGTTTTGTGGCCTTCTCTGTTTACTTTCTCTCCTTCCTGTTTTCCTTTTAGTCAAGGTGATTTTCTCAGGTGATATAATCCAGTTTTTTTTCTTTTTATTTGCTGTATACTCATTGTATATTTTTAGGTTTGAGTTTACCTTGAGTCTTGAAAATACCATATTACAATTCATTATTTTGAGCTGATGACAACTTAACACGCTCTGCATAAACAAACAAGCAAAAAGAAAACTAATAAAGACTCCACACCTTAACTTTGTCTGCCTACTTTCTAAGTTTTTGTTGTTTCTATTTATATTTTATTGTACTGTCTGTGTCTTGAAAAGTAATTAGGGTTACTATTTTTGATTAATTGTAGTCTTTCTACTTAAGAGTAGTTTACACAGCATTGTTGCAATGTTACAATATTCTGTGTTTTTCTGTGTATTTACTATATTGTTAGTGAGTTTTGTACCTTCAGATGATTAGTTATTGCTCATTAACCTCCTTTATTTCTGATTGAAGTACTCCGTTTAGCATTTCTTGTAGGACAGGTATGGTCTTAATAAAATCCTTCAGCTTTTGCTTGTCTGGGAAAGTCTTTATTTCTCCTTCGTATTTGAAGGATATTTGTGCCAGATGTACTATTCTACAGTAAAAGTTTTTTTTTTTTTTTTATCACTTTAAATATGTCATGTCACTCTCTCCTGGCCTGTAAGGATTCCACTGAAAAGTCTGCTGAAAGACATATGGGAGCTCCATTATATGTTATTTGTTTATTTTCTCCTGCTGCTTTTAGGATTCTTTCTTCATTCTTGACCTTTGAGAGTTTGATAATCCGATGACTTGAGATAGTCTTCTTTGGGTTAAATCTTGGTGTTCCATAACCTTCTTGTGCTTAGATATTGATATTTTTCTCTAGGTTTGGGAAGCTCTCTGTTATTATCCCTCTGAATAAACTTTCTACCACATCTCTTTATCTCCCTTTTAAGGCCAATAACTCTTATATTTGCCCTTTTGATCTTGTAGATCCTGTAGGCATGCTACATTATTATTATTATTTTGCTTCTTTCTCCTCTGTGTATTTTCAACTAAGCTGTCTTCTAGCTCACTAATTCTTTCTTCTGCTTGATTGATTCTGCTGTTAGAAGACTCCTAAGCATACTTCAGTATGTCAATTGCATTTTTCAGCTAAGAATTTATGCTTGATTCTTTTTCATTATTTTAATCTCTTTGTTAAATATGTCTGATAGAATCCTGAATTTAATCTCTGTGTTATCTTGAATTTCTCTGAGTTTCTCTAAAACAGCTATTTTGCATTCACTCTTTAAAAGATCACATTTCTCTGTTTCTCCAACATTGATCCTTGGTGCCTTCTTTAGTTCATTTGGTGAGGTCATGTCTTCCTGGGTGGTCTTCATACTTACAGATTTTTGTCTGTGTTTGGCATTGAAAAGTTAGGTATTTATTGTAGTCTTCTCCACCTGGGCTTGTTTTTACTTGTCCTTCTCGGGAAGGCTTTCCATATCTTTGAAAGGACTTGGGTGATATGGTCTAAGCTATCTCCGCTTTGTGGGGCACCCCAAGACCCATTTTCTTGTGATTCGTGAAGACTTCTAGAGGTTCTGCCTTGATGGTCTTGGACAATATCCAGAAGAATTCTCTGGATTACCAGGAAGAGACTCTTATTCTCTTCCCTTTAAAAAAACAAACAAACAAAAAAAAAAACTGAATGTCTATGCTCTGAGACACTTGAAGCTGGGTGTAGAGTGACATAAGCACCCCTGTGATCCCCACCATGAGGACAGTGCTGGGTCAGACCTGAAGCCCACATGGCACTTGAGTTTGTGCAAGTCATGTTGTAACCACTCCCTGGCTACCATCTATGTTCACTCAAGGCTCTGGGGTGCTACAATCAGCAGGTGGTAAAACAGCCAGGCCTGTGTCCTTCCTTTCAGGTCAACAAGTTCCCCTAGGCACTGAGTAGATCCAGGGGTGTCTCTGGGAGCCAGGGACTGGAGTCAAAAACCCTCAAAGTCTACCTAGTGTTCTATTTTACTGTGGCTGAGCTGGCACTTAAACCATAAGATACAGTCTTTCCTCCTATTCTCTCCCTTTTCCAAAGGCAGAGGAGCTTCACTCCTTGGCCACTGACATCACAGGTCCATGGGGAGTACTGCCAGACTATCGCTGATGTTTCCTTAAAGCCCAAGGACTCTTCAGTCAGCTTGTGGTGAATGCTACCTAACCCGAGACTTACCATTCAGGACAGTTGGCATCGCTATGGCCCAGAGCAGGCCCAGAAATTCTGTCTAAGTGCTACATCCTGGAATTAGGGACCCCAAGAGCTCACTTGGTGCTCTAACTCGTTGTGGCTGAGCTGGAACCTAGGGTACAAGACAAAGTCCCCTTTACCTTTCCCTCCATTTCATTTTTCTCAAGCAGAAGGAATCTCAGCCTGTGGCCACCAAAGCTGGGAATGTGCTGAGTCTCACCTAAAGCCAGCATGTCTCAACGTATTATCCAAGGCCCACAAGGTATAATGTGGGTATTACTGCAGGCTATTCAGAGCCCAAGGGCTCTTCAGTTAACAGGTGATTAACCCTGACAGGTTTAGGACCTTCTCTTCAAGGCAACAGGTTCCCTTTTGGCCCAGGGTGTGTCTAGAAATGTCATCCAGAAACTCTGGCTTGGAAAGTTGGCCTCACCACTCTGATTGGTGCCCTGTGCTGCTGTGACTGAGCTGGTATCCAAGATGCAAGACAGAGTTTCCCTCGACTTCTCACTTCTCTCCTCAATCCTCTCCTCAAGTGAACGCAAGGGACCACTTTTGGAGCCATGAGCTGTGCTGCTTGGGGTTAGGGCAGGAGTGAGACCAGCACTCCCTTAGCTGCCCTAGCTGCTATCTCAGTGGGTCACGTGCTTCCTCCTCCACAACCCCCCATCCTTCCAGTCCACTGGCTCTTGGCCCAGTTCAACACTAGGACTCATTTAGGAGTTGTGGTTCTTGTGGCCTAGACTGCTTTTCAAGTTTATTTTGAGCCCCAGAGCTCTTTAGCTTGCAGTGGTGAGGCTTGTGGGAACTCATATTTCAACCACTGGCTTTGGCAATTTTCCTCGGGCCAAGGTTCATTCAAATGCTCCCTCTGTGGGTAGGCATCAGCAGAGATGGGTTCACTTTTGCTTTCTGCTATAACAGGGTGACACTGAGTTCAATGCATCACAATTGCTGTGCTCTTCCTCTCCTCAGTGCACAGAATTGCTCTCTACATTATGCCACCACTGTTGAGGAATATGGAGGTGTGACATTGGTGATTCAAACCTGTTTTTGTTTTACCTTTTCGGTACCTCTTTCAGTGATATGAAGTTAAAACCAAGTACTATGAGTACTCACCTGATTTTTGGTTCTTGTGTAAAAGCTTTTTTTGTGTATAAATAGTTGGTAAATTGGTGTCTTTGCAGGGGGGTGGTGACAGTCAATGAAGTCCTCTATTCTGCCCTATTGCTCTGCTCCACTATTTCTGTTTTTGTTTCTGTTTTCCTAAGCTAGTTGGGCAGTATATGAGTACTCCTCTTCATATTATTCTTTAAACTATCTATTTTAAATATATATGCTATCTTTATATCTTTATGTAGAATATACTTCACAATTATTAAAATGATTCATCAAGTGTCTAGCAAGGTGAATCATACCCATGCACAAGCACTCATGCATGCACTCACATACTCACAAATTTAAGTGTGTAGGTGGATGCTCACAGTGAAAGATCACAGTGAATTTTTAGAACAAGAAGAATCACTCAAGATCTAACAAATTTCAAAGAGGTGAAATCCTTCACAAAGTTGTAACAATTATATAGCAGATAAATAAAAATTATCATTGGCAAAATTGGAATAATATGTAAAACATTAGAAAATATGTTATAGAACAAATACCAGATAATATACAATAAAAAATCTCATACTAAACTATGTTAGTATACTTTACAATGGTTTCACTATAGGAAATAAATATTGATTATTGTTGTAGTTTAAATGTTTTGCCAAATAATAAAGATGGTAATGGAATGTAGGAATGCCTTCATTTGTATGAGAAAAAATATTTTCAACATTGAAGTATATTCAATCAAATATATGGCAGAATAAAATTTTACTCATAAAAAGTTTGAGCAAGTTTACATTTTCTTTTTTTTATTTATTTTTTATTTTTTTTAATTTTTTTTCTCTATTTTATTTATTTATTTTTATTATTATACTTTAAGTTTTAGGGTACATGTGCGCAATGTGCAGGTTTGTTACATATGTATACATGTGCCATGTTGGTGTGCTGCACCCATCAACTTGTCATTTAGCAATAGGTATATCTCCTAAAGCTATCCCTCTCCCCTCCCCCAACCCCACAACAGTCCCCAGAGTGTGATGTTCCCCTTCCTGTGTCCATGTGTTCTCATTGTTCAATTCCCACCTATGAGTGAGAATATACGGTGTTTGGTTTTTTGTCCTTGCGATAGTTTACTGAGAATGATGATTTCCAATTTCATCCATGTCCCTACAAAGGACATGAACTCATCATTTTTTATGGCTGCATAGTATTCCATGGTGTATATGTGCCACATTTTCTTAATCCAGTCTATCATTGTTGGACATTTGGGTTGCTTCCAAGTCGTTGCTATTGTGAATAGTGCCACAATAAACATACGTGTGCATACGTCTTTATAGCAGCATGATTTATAGTCCTTTGGGTATATACCCAGTAATGGGATGGCTGGGTCAAATGGTATTTCTAGTTCTAGGTCCATGAGGAATCGCCACACTGACTTCCACAAGGGTTGAACTAGTTTACAGTCCCACCAACAGTGTAAAAGTGTTCCTATTTCTCCACATCCTCTCCAGCACCTGTTGTTTCCTGACTTTTTAATGATTGCCATTCTAACTGGTGTGAGATGGTATCTCATTGTGGTTTTGAGCAGAGAAATGGCTATCAGAGAAATGCAAATTTACATTTTCTATGAATCCATCCCTGCCAAAGTACCAGATAATAATTGGTAAGACAGCACATGCTTTATTTAACATTTTATGGCCTTAATTGAATGGAATGCAATTAAAAGTTTGAGTCAGGAATCTCTACTTTTGTTCAACTAACTATTCACTTTGACAGCCTGAAGTGTCTTTTCTTTTAAAAATGGTTAAAGAAGTACCAATAACCTAGTTTTATCATTACCACGGACCCATTTATTGCCCAAATTCCATGGAAAAATTAGCGCCCATATCATTGTCACATACTGAATGTTTTGTTAAAGCAAGAAATATAGTTTTGTTTAATTTGTTCCAATGTGTAAATGGAGGAATTCTGATTCTGAAGAAACATTCCCCTTTGAACTTAGTTATCAATATCATTGTTTTGAAATGTTTGCTGTCTCTATAGGGTCTAATGTACCAGGTCGGTAGAGATACTACCTGGAAACTTTGGTGGCGGGGGGGAGAAGTAAATTCTGTGAGAATTTAAGGTCAATTTGTTTCATTCATAATTGAAAGAATATTAATTATAGGAGTAAAACAATGATATGAATTAAAATTACATAAATACTAATAAATCTTAAAAATTTTTAATGCCAACATAACAGACAAAGCAAAAAGAATATAACATTTGTTAAAATGGAAAAATATAATATATATTAAGTGCTTCCAGATTAATTTAAAAAATAGAAAATATAGATTAGATTATTAAATAATAGAATAAGTTAAAATTTTTGTCAGGTTGGTAACATTAAAAATGGCAGTTTCCACTTCTCTCATATATTTTTTAAGGGAATTTTGTATAGTATATCAGTAATTTAAATGTGTATAATTGTTGTTCCACTAAGTTCTACTTAATAAAACACTCTTCGAATGATCTAAGAAAAATGTATAGCAGTGAAAAAAATTGCTACATAAATGTGTATATTAAAATATTTCAATTGGCCAGGTGCGGTAGCTCGTGCCTGTAATCCTAGCACTTTGGGAGGCTGAGGTGGGCAGATCACCTGAGGTCAGGAGTTTTACAGCAGCCTGGCCAACATGGTGAAACCCTGTCTCTACTAAAAACACAACAATTAGCCAGGCGTGGGTGTGAGCACCTGTAATCCCAGTTACTCAGGTAGCTGAGGCTGGAGAATTGCTTGGACCCAGGAAATGGAGGTTGCAGTGAGCAGAGATCATGTCATTGCACTCCAGCTTGGGCAACAAGAGCAAAACTCCATCTCAAAACAAAAATAAAACAAAACAAAAAAGGCAAAATTCAATTAAACAAAACTCTGAAATTAATAAATAGTTATCTAAAGAGAGCAACTTCTAGATAATTTATACACAGTAAGACAATGTGGTTGTTTAAAAACTAGTCATGATATTTTAAAAGCATGTCTACAAACAATTTGACACTTCTTCCATAAAGAGTCCAGGTCTCTGTCTTCTTTCTAAAAATGTAATTGGAGCAGAAAGGGTGAGTGACTGCCTTGAATCACTAGAGTACGTACAATATTCTTCAGGTTGATCATAAAAGTTACTGCAGATTCACTACACAATTGCTATTGAGACATCGAGCCAGCTGCAAGAACAACCCTGAGCCCATCCTACCTAAGAAACCATATTTAAGCATTCTGCAGATAAGCCCAGCCTTGCAGCATCCCCAAAATCCTTCAGACCTGTCAATCCACCAGTTAAAGAGAATATGCCCAACTGAACTATTTTTATGCCACACAGAATGAAAGAATCATCCATCTGAATCCTGTGCAAATTCCTCTCCCACAAAAGAGTGAAATATAAGAAAATGGTTGTGGTTTAAGCCACTGCATTTTGGATTGTTTGTTGCACAGTTTGTGTAGTATTATTAACATTGGAAGATAATCAGATTGTTGAAAAGAGCATGAACAATAGATGCCCATTTGGTAAAAGAAAATTCACATACACAAAAAAAAAGGAGAAAGGGAAAAGGAAGAAAGAGAGAGAGGGAGGGAGGGAGAAGGAAAGTGAAGGAAGGAGAGAGATTTATATCAAAAGACATTTTGACAGAAGTTAACATTGTATATCAAAAGACATTTTGACAGAAGTTAATGATATATGATTTAATGAGGCTGTTTTGTACTTTCCAGAACAGCAGTTATTTATTCACATTGAACACCTACTTTTTAGGTGATGCAAAGAATAGAAAAAAGTATGAAACAGAATATTAACTAAAGATTGAGATGTTTTGAAAACATTTGAGTATATTTTGAAAAGAAGCTCTTCTGTAAGTGTAGATGTTTGGTTTAAGTGTAGATGTTTAGATGTAAGTGTTTGATGTCAGTGTAGATTTTTTTTAAACATTTGAGTACATTTTGAAAAGAAGCTCCCCTGTAAGTGTAGAATTCTATTTTTGTTTCAACAAAATATTTTAAGTCTGTAAAAAAAGCCCAGATTGCTTTATTTCAGCTCTTTTTCATTACTAGATATAACTTTAAAAAAGCTCTCTGATCAGTTTTCTTAAGCACCTTGCTTTTTGTAATCAATCATATGAATATAATATTAACGTCACATAAAATATACAACATAGCTTTCAACAAAAATTCTCCGTACTATAAAATATAGTCTCATTATCATTCTTAACTTGAAAATATATTTTAATAAAGTCCAGTTAGTCTCTCATCTTGGAAGGGGCTCAGGTATTTTAATTATATTTATATGTGTTCTCAATATCAACTTTACTTTTTAATCCAATAAACTACATAGATGATCTCGTATTACATTTAGATCTATCGACTTGGTAAAATCAATGTTTATTGTTCATACTAACTATGACAACTTGTAACGATCAAATAACACAGAGAAGAACAGTGCTCATAAATTTTGTTTTCAACATCTACTTTTTCAGCTAAAGTTGATATTCTATACTCAATACATTGATTTCAGTTCACAATAAAGCCTACAGAATGTCACGTGAGGATATAGAATAAGGCAAGAAATCATGTTGTGTGTTGTATTTAACTTCATGTCAAACATCAAACAAGCTCTGAATAAGAAAATCCCCAGAAATAAAATTTCATAAATGTCTATATTTACCCCACTGTGCCATAAAAATCTTTTTAAAGGAAAAGAAATCATAAATCAATGAAAGGACATGAAGCGAATAAGGCATTTTATAATTTAATAAGTGCAACCAGTCATGAGCTTCATTGGCTACTGAAAAACTACATTCAAATAATTGCATTCAAAATAAAATGAACTGTCAAATATATTTTGTAATTATGTAATGTTAATTTTGGAATTATGTTGGTATAAGAATATATACTATGAGTTACTTCATATGTATGCTGCATTCTAGATAGTTCTTAATTTATTAGTTTATGAAGTAAAAATGGGTTAAAGATTATTGTGTTCTCTGATTATTTTTGATATGTGTTAACCATAAATGCTGCTTCTATCAATTCAAATAAATCAAATATGATTATTTTGGTTTATTACATTTTATAAGTGACATACTTCACTAAAACAGATTTCTGCATTAAACCAAATGAAAAAAATTTAAGATGTATGTACTTGAAATAAGTTTCTCTTAATTGCTTAAATTTAAGAAATATTTTTTCTGATATGTTCTTAATGCTTCTCCATCAAATTTGTTATTTTGGGGAGTATAATCTGTACCTTAAATATTTAATTGACTTAGACTATAACATTTATGTTTTATAGGATGATGAAAAATTATCGCAATGCCTATAATCAATAATTATATTATATTTATGTATGATCACATCATGCTTTTTACTGAAGTCAATAATTATTTTCTAGGAGATAATGTTCTGACAAAAACAGACTTCACTGAGAAACACAATCCACTTCTAAACTTACAAGAATTTCTATTCAGCAGGATTGTTTACTGATATTAGCTACCTTAAATAAATCATCAATCTCAACAAGGTCAAATAAATATATGCATTCATACTCAAAAAAATACTGAACTTATATTGTATTGCGTTTTCTGATTACTTTGGTTTCAGACATATACATGTTAATAAACATATTGTAGTATTTATTGACATTAATTTTTACCAATTACATTCTGGACAAATAAGAATATTTCCTTTTATATCAGGTCACTTTGTTGTTAGACATATAGAAAATAAACTGAAATATTACTTCAGATATAAACAAAATGCAGTTATGCCTATAACAGTTTATAATTAATTAGTCTGATTTTAGACTTGACAAATCACTATTTATTTAACAAAGATGTAACCTCTCTGAGCAAACAGCACTTCCTCAAATTTTGTTATACATTCTATTTTCATACCACCTGCTACAAGAGGACTAGATAATATATTTTAATTTATTGATGGGATGATTGATAGGATGTATTTAGAGTGTTCAAGGTCATATTTTTGCCTGCCAGTGGAAATAATGCCTATGTGCTTTGTGTCACTTTGCTTTATGTATCAGAATATCACTGCCTAGATTCATATTGATAATGCTATTTTTCTTAACCTCATTTGTCTGGCATAATGTATAAGCATTCACTATACATTTCTATAATATTTATTGTCATTTATGTCAGAGGCTCAAGGAGGTGATTTAGGATTTCCCATTTATTTGCACATTTTTGAAATTAGAAAAGGAGCTAAAGTTTTAAGAGAATTATGGAATAAATTACTGGAATTTAACTTGGGATTATAGAAATCCATTTTCACCAGGGGGAGTAGCATTGTGTTACTTCTTCCCTCCCTCCCCCGTGTTTTTCGTTCTCTCCTTGCATTTTGTTTTAATTTTTATGTTTTAAGCAATAATTACTAGAAACTTACTGGTTTATAACAATTTTATTTTATTTTTCTACAGTTCAATAAATTCGAAGTTCAGAACAGGTCTCATCAGGCTAACATCAAGGTGTTGGCAGGTCTTCATTACTTTCCAGGAGACTCTTTGGAAAATCTGTTTCCTAAGCTCTCTGAGTTTCTAGAACTGCACACATTTCTTGGTGGTGGCTCCTTTCCTCCGTCTTCAGAGTCAGCAGCATTTTATCTCTTTGAGTATTCTTCTGTAGTTGCATATCCTCCTGACCCTGAACTCAGCAAGTAAAGTTTCTATTTTTCTAAGAACTCAATGATTAGATTGGGCAGGCCTAGATAATTTAGGGTAACATCTTAACATCTGTAAAATATCTTTTGTCATGTAAATTTACATTTTCCAGATTCCAAAACCTAGTATGTAGACATTTGAGGAAGCCATTATTCAACCTGCCACACATTTAAGTATCTTTTTTTGTGGGTATGTAGGACCTAAATGGTACTCAGCAAACATGAACTGCTAAGCATAATAATACATTAAACATAGTGTTTTATATCAATTTTAATAATCTGATTAACCAATTATAATGTCATCAAAATGTAATTTTTCCCTTTTTTGTACTTATTATGCTCTGTAAAGTAATATTCTTTACATTGGTCCTTTGGCTGTAAATTTTATAAATTTTAAGTTTGCATACTAGATTATTTAATATGTTTCATGCTATCACAAAGCTTTTAGAAACAACTAGGTTTTTGAGCAATATTTCATAGTGAACATAAAGGAAATACTTACAATGTTTATTAGTACAGCTACAATAATAAAAATACAGCTTATAAGAATGTTCTATAGGGATTCAGACCTGCTATAGTTTAGATATTTGACCCTCCAAGTCTCATGTTGAAATTTAATTCTCAATGTTGGAGGCAGGTCTTAAGACCTGCCTATTAATAGGAGGTGTTTGTGTCACGTGGGCAGATCTTTCATGAATGGCTTGGTGCTGTCCTTATAGTAATGAGTGGCGTCTGCCTGTACTAGTTCCAGCAAGAGCTAATTGTTAAAAGGAGCCTGACACTTCCCTGCTCTCTTGCTTTTGCTGGTTTCCTTCCATTTTCTGCCATGAGTGGAAGAAGCATGAAGCCCACACCACAAGCCAAGTTAGATGCCAGCACCATGCTTCTTGAATAACTTACAGAATTGTGAGGCAAATAAACCACTTTTCTCCATAAATTACTCAGCTTCAGGTATTTCTTTATAGCAACACAAACAGACTAATACAATAAAATGCATGTGAAGCATAATTTTAAAATTTAAAATTTTAAAATTAAATGGGAAATTTAATATTTTTAATAAATAATTACAAGCAACATTGATTTTTAAAAGGTACAAAAAGTATAAATAAGGGAAGAGGGGTATTTTGATAAAAAAATAAAATATTTGAACTAAAGATGCCTCATTTAAAATTAAAATAAATAAAGACCAATATCAGGACAAAAACAATATTTGTAATACTATAACAAACTTCATCTTTAAATCCATAATATGACAGTAATTCAAAAAATATTTTTAAATGCCATATAAACTAAGAGAAAACTGAGCAAAGAAAATGACTGGCATTACACAGAAAGAGAAATTCAAATGACCAGTTAATTTATGAAGGAATATTGAATCTTGCTAAATATGTAGTTAAATAAAATTAAAATATTAGTTTCACATCAGACCGGCAATTTTTTTAGGTAGACAATAACAAGTGTGGAGGAGGATTTGAGATTTCAGAGAAATTCTTGGTGTGAATATAGATAAATACAATGGTTTTGGAGAGCAATCTGACATATATACAGTTGTCTCTTGGTATCTGCAGAGGATTATTTTCAGGACCCTCTAGATACCAAAATGTTGATAGATGTTCAAGTTCCTTACATAAAATCACTTAGTGTTTGCATATAATATACACACATCCTCACATAAATGGTAAATCTCAATTACTTATAATACCAAATAAAATGTAAATGCTATGTAAATAATTGTTATAGTCTTTAAATTTGTATTTTTTTTTTATTGTTTTCTTCTTAATATTTTCGATTTGTGTTTGGTTGAATCCACAAATGTGGAACCCATAGGTATGGAGGTCAGACTATATGTTTTCAATTAGGAATATAATAGTTTTGTTTTCTTTTCTGCCTATTCTGTGCATCTTCACATAAAAGTTTTTCTGTATGATATTTTTACTTCACCAACTCGTAAATTCTTTTCTGTGAACTCATCTTTGCAGCTGAGTTGCATTTTAAAACATGTCTGATTCTTTGCTTTGGGGTAGAAGAGGATATTGTCAGGACTTGAGAATCCAGCTTTATTCCAATGAGGCTGGAATTTGAGTGAACTGTCCCCACAGGCTTCAGTCTTCACAAGGGTATTTTGTACCTTTCTCTGCCCTCTTGGAGCAAGCATTATCCCGTCTTTACATCCCCGAAAATGCCCTGGCCTAGACATAAGCCTTACAGTCACAGCCCTTCAGATCTTAGGTGGAAGCAGAATGAATGGTAATTAGCAGCTGAACTATTTCCATGTGGGAAACCTAACTTAATCATCAGTTGTCTCCAGGTGCAGTGTTGCTGTAAACTTCCCTTAAATGACTGTCTGTAATAAGAAGTCAGATTCCATTTTTTTTTTTTTTTTTTTTTTTTTGCTGTAAAAAACTACAGCCATTAAGCCCACTCCTGCCTCTTCCCTGCAGCCCTGCATCTGGGCAGGCTGATAAGAATGTTGGGTGCTCCTTGCCCTGCTGCCAGTAGGAGATTTAAACCACACAAGCGCATGCCTATATGGGGAAAATATCACCTCTGCTCTGTCCTTAGTCATAAAAAGAACCCTGAGCCTGTCTTCTGTTCTTGCTCTCTCATGCAGTGTGAACTTGCTTGAGAAGGCTGGCCTCCTTGCCCTAGAGGCCTTAAGTGTATAAGTAATAAATATTTCCATACACTCTTGATGAATTAAAAATTCAAGAAACAAATGACAAAATTGACTTATTTGAAAATAGGTTTGGTGGAGGAAGTGGTGGAAATTATATACAGGACAAGTTAGTCACTAATGACTTAAAAAGATATATACTTTGTTTTATAGTAAGTGAAACATATGACATTAGCTACTTAGACATCATAAATTCTTGCTGTCTTAAATAAAATTCTTTCAAAATAAATGCTTTTGAAATTAATTTGTTCTAAATTCAACTTTAAACCCTACAGGAAATTGTTTTCTAATTTGCTCTCCTTAAATAGAAAATTATAAATTTGAGTATAACTCTAACTCCTGCATAGTTCATTTGGATTAATTTTGTATAGTAGTATTACAGTGTAGATACAGAAAAATCTTGTTTTATTGCACTTTGCTTTATTGTGCTTTGCAGGTATTTTGTTTATTAAAAATTTAAGGTTTTGGCAATTCAGAGTCCAGCAAATATATAGGTGCCATTTTTCTCACAATATGTGATCACTTTGTGTTTCTGTGTCACATTTTGGTAATTATCACAATATTTCAAACTTTTTATTATTGCTTTATCTGTTATGGTGATCACTGATGTTACCATTGTAATTTTTAGGTGCCATAAATTCTGCCCATATAAGACAATTAATAAATGTGGTGTGTTCTGGGTGCTCTATTGACAAGCCGTTCCCCTATGTCTCTTCCCTCCTCTCAGATTTCCCTATTCACTAAGACACAACAATATTGAAATGAAGCCAATAAATGATTCTACAATGGCCTCTAAGTGTTGAAGTGAAAGAAAGAATTGCATATTATATTATTCCATTTTAATACTTCTATAAAGAAATACCAGAGACTGGGTAGTTTATAAAGGAAAGAGGTTTAATGGACTCACAGTTCCACATGGGTAGGGAGGCCTGACAATCATGGTGGAAGGCAAAGGAGGAGCAAAGTCACTTCTTACATGTCAGCAGGCAAGACAGCGTGTGCAGGAGCACTGCCTTTTATAAAACCATCAGATCTCATGAGACTTATTCACTATCATGGGAACAGTGCAGAAAAAACCCTATCCTGTGATTCAATTACCTCCCACTAGGTCCTTCCTATGACACGTGGAGATTAGGGAAGCTACAATTTAAGCGGAGATTTGGGTGGGGACACAGCCAAACCATAGCACATGCCTATCTGTTTAAATCAAAAGCTAGACATGACTAAGCTTAGTGAGGAAGGCATGTCTAAATCCAAAATAGGCTAAAAGTTAGGCTACTTCCACCAGTTAGCAAAGTTGTAAATGCAAAGCAAAAGTTCTTGAAGTAAATTAAAAGTTCTACTCTAGTGAACACACAAATGATAAGATAGTAAAACATTCTTATTACTTACTTATATGACAAAAAGCTTTAGTGATGTGAATAGAAGATAAAGCCAGCCACAGCATTACCTTAAGTCAAAGCCTAATTCAGAACAAGGCCCCAACTCTCTTTTCCATAAAGGCTGAAAGAGGTGAGGAGGCTGCAGAAGAAAAGTTTGAAGCTAGCAGTTTGGTTCATGAGGTTTAGGGAAAGAAGTCGTCTTCAAAACATAAAAGTGCAAGGTGAAATAAGTTATATATTAACAGAAGATCTAGCTTAAATGATTGATGAAGATGCAGACAGTAAACAACAGTTTTTTAAGGTAGACAAAAGAGCCTTATATTGAAAGAAGATGTCATCTAGGACTTTTATAGCTAGAGAGCAGAAGTTAATGGCTGGCTTCAAATCTTGAAAGGACAGGCTGATTCTCTTGGTAGGTGCTAATGAAGCTGGGAATTTTAAGTTGAAGTCAATGCTCATTTACTATTTAAAAAATTCTAGGACCCTTAAGAATCATGCCAAATCTACTCTGCCTGTGCTCTGTAAAAGAAAAACAAATGTTGAATATCAGCAAATCAATTTACATCATGGTTTATGGCATATTTTAAGCTCACTATTGAGACCTACTAATTAAGATAAAAGATTCCTTTTGAAGTATTGCTGCTCTTTTACAATACTCCTGATGGAGATGTATAGGAGATTAATGTTATTTTTGTGTCTGCTAACACAGTATCTATTCTATAACCCATGGACCAAGGAGTAATTTTGAATTTCAACACTCATATTTTAAGAAATAATTCTCATAAGGCTATAATTGCCATATGTAATGATTCTTTTGATGGATCTGAGCGAAATAAATTGAAAAGTCTTTTGTAAAAGATTCACTAATTTGGATGCCGCTAAGAACATTCATGATTTATGGGAGGAGGTCACAATACCAACATAAACAGGAATTTGGAAGAGAAAGTCCTCATGAATGACATTGAGGGATTCAAGACTTCAGTGGAGGAAGTAACTGCAGATGAGGTAGAAATAGCAAGAGAACTAGAATTAGAAGTGGAGCCTGAAGATGTAACTGATTGCTGAAATCTCATGACAAAACTTTAACAAACGAGGAGTTGCTTTTTATGGATGAAGAAAGTAAGTAGTTTTTTGAAATGAAATCTATTCCTGGTGATGATGCTGTGAATATTGTTGAAATGCCAACAAAAGATTTAGAAAAGTTATATAAGCTTAGTTGATAAAGCAGCAGCAGGGTTTGAGAGGATTGACTCCAATTTTGAAAGAAGTTGCACTGTGGGTAGAATGCTATCAAACAGCATTGCAAGCTACAAAGACATCTTTTGTGAAAGGAAGAATCAATTCTTGCAGCAAACTTCGTTGTTGTATTATTTTAAGAAATTGCCACAGCCACCCAAACCTTTAGCAATCACCACCACACTTGATCAGTACACAGTCATCAACATTGACGCAAGACCCTCCACCAGCCAAAAGAATATGACTTGCTGAAGTCTCAGATGATCTGTAGTAATTTTTTTAGCAATTAAGTACTTTTCTAAAAGGTATATATATATATATATATTTGTTTAAATATAATGCTATTGTATAGTTAATAGACTACAGTATAGGGTAAACATAAATTTTGCATGCACTGGGAATCCAAGAAATTCATGTGACTCACTTTATTACAACATTCACTTGATTGCAGTGGTCTGGAACCTAATATACAATATTTTCATGGTATTTCTGTATTTAATTTTGCAAAACAGAAAAACATACATATGTCTTATAAATTATCATATATCATGCATATATTTAGTTTAAACTATATATGCAATAGTTTATTACTTTGAATTCATATTTTAATATTCTAATATGTATATTTCACTTACGTCTGTTTCAAAGGAAATAATTTAGTTTTATAATAATTATCATTTTTCATATTGAAAAACTAGAAACATAGATCTAACCTCCAGTGTCGATTCTGCAAACCATTTTGTTTCTGAGGGCAGCCAAGAGTAAAGGAACCAAAAAGAAACCTGATCATTTAACTCCCATGTTTTCTTCTTCCGGCCTATTTAACTTTCCATTAGCTCACTCAACCTCCTCAAAAGTTATCAGTAAGTTAACTGGAAATAAGAACTTCTTACTGTTGAATTTAGCTTACATGTTCTTGTTTGAGTACTTTAAATCTTTGTAGAGAAATATGAACTAAAACTGACTATTTGGTGATTCTCCTGGTATTTGGATAAAGAGAACTGACTTAAATTCAACAGGTCAAAACAAATAGCTTAGCGGCTTATCTTCATGTGCGGTTATGAGAATTAAATAATCTTATTAAAGAATAAATAATATATAATCATGAACCAAAATTAATAACTTTATAGTCATTTTGCTTAAAAATTACAAATATTAATTGCTGAATTTTTAAATTAACAAATAAGTTAATATTTGGACTACTTTTTAAAATATTTCAAAATAGGATTTTAGCCATGTATTGCAAAAAAATGGAAAAATTCCAAGTTAGAGGGTAACTGAAGTATCTTATTATTATTATTATTATTATTATTATTATTATTATTAGAGACAAGGTCTTGCTCTGTCACCTAGGCTGGAGTGCAGTGGCATAGTCTTGACTCATTGTAACATCCAGCTCCTGGGATCCAGCCATCCTCCCACTTCAGCCTCTAGATTAGCTGGAACTACAAGCACCCATCACCACACCCAGCTAATTTTGTATTTTTTGTAGAGTTGGGGGTTTTGCCATGTTGCACAGACTGGTCTTGAACTTCTAAACTCAAGTGATCCACCTACCTGTGCCTCCCAAAATGCTGGGATTACAGGTGTGAGCCACCATGCCTGGCCAAAAAAATTAAAAACAAAAACAAAAACAAATATATATATATATGTGTGTGTGTGTGTGTGTGTGTGTGTGTGCGTGTGTGTGTGCCTGTATACACATAAATTTTAATTTTAGATTCAGGGTGTACTTGTGCAAATTTGTTACAAGGGTATATTGTGTGATGCTGAGGTTTGGACTTTTGTTGATCCCAGCACTCAGATTGTGAACATAGTAAAACTACCCAATAGGAAGTTTTTCAGCCCTAGCCCCACTCTCTTCCTCTTACTGGAGACTTGGGCATCTACTGTTCCCCTCTTTACATGTACCCAAGGCTTAACTTCCACTGATACCAAAATCTGGCAAAGACACAACAAAAAAAGGAAACAACAGGCCAATATCCCTAATAAACATAGAAGCAAAAATCCTCAAGAAAATATTAGCAAAAGAAATCCAGCTGCACATCAAAAAGTTAATTCACCAAGATCATGTAGGCTTTATTCCTTGGATGCAAGTTTGTTTCAATGTAAAATTTCATTTAAAGACAGCTTCCTAACCATCCAAAAACTAAAATTGCCATGTTGCTTAAAATTTTTATATATTTATGTTGATGATATTTGTCTATATATTTTCCAGAATTAAATCAGATCACTCAATTTTTTTTACTTTTGATTTAGATTTTTAAAAACTTAATTTTTGTTTATATCCAAGAGTCTTAAAGCAATGAAAATTTGTTGAGGGCACAAGGAAGGGAAAAAGGAAAGAGATGTATTTTGGGGTTAATGTCAATTTAGAGATAATGGGCTTTTGACATCCGGATGTATCAATGAGAGCACATGGCCTCAAGAATGGGATACAGAGGCCACCAAAGATGAAATGTGTGAGGCATACTTAAAGTTAGAAGATAAGGTCTTAAAAAAGGAAAGTATCCTATTCAAAACTTCCCTAATCGGCCAGGCGGGGGGGCTCATGCCTGTAATCCCAGTTCTTTGGGAGGCGGCCGGATCACCTGAGGTTAAGAGTTAAAGACCAGCCCTACCAACATGGAGAAACCCCATCTCTACTAAAAATACAAAATTAGCCGGGCGTGGTGGCACCTGCCTGTAATCCCAGCTACTCGGGAAGCTGAGGCAGGAGAATTGCTTGAACCCAGGAGGTGGAGGTTGCCTTGAGCTGAGGTCGCACCATTGCACTCCAGCCTGGGCAAAAAGAGTGAAACTTCGTCTCAAAAAAAAAAAAAAAAAAAATTCCCTAATCAACCAAGTCCTCATCTCTCATTTTCTCTTACTAAATAGAGCTTTTATTTTATTTTAATATTATTTTTATCTTTGCAACGCTGGATCTCAGAAGGGGTGTGATGTGAGGGTAAAACAAGTTAAAATAAATTAGAGCAACCCTGATAATAAAGGTAAATTCTGGTCCTGTTAATGAAAATAATAATGAGTTTATGCTAGACCTACACGTATTTCAGAGTAATAGACTTTTACTCTGAACATGTTCATTTTACAATAGAAAAATGAACATGTTTTCCAGCTATTTTATTCTGACTAAGAAGAAATAAATAATGTGGAAAAGCTTCTACTGTTGAGAGTTTACAATTAAAACTGTATCTGGCCTTAGTAGAAAATCATCCTACTTAAGGGTGTTAAATATATGTTTGTGGTAAGTAACTAATTAAAGATTTGGTGTCTTGGAGAGAGTAGGTTGAATAACATCATGCCCAAAAGAATTCAATTAATGAAGTACCAACCTCTAAACCCCAGAACAGCTTTAGGCTATCTATCACAAAAATTCATTTGCTGTTGGAATCACTGAGTCTCCAATGAACTCGACATCAGGGAACTAAACGGTAGTCTGTTTCAGAAGGCTGGTAAATACATCATGGCATTTCTTTTTTTTTCTGTAATAAGTTATATCTATAGTTTCTAATAAAATATGCAACATATCTACATGTATACATAAATAATTTAATTTTCCTAGGGCAATTATTTTAAATACACTGATGAGAAGCTATTTATCATATTTGACCATCATAGTTCCAAAAATAAGTTCCACAATTAGCTATGCTAACTGCAGATGTTTGGTATTTAAAAGAAAAAATAAACAAATTGAATAAAAAACAAAATGAATACCCATGAAATGTGAGTATAAGGGCTGAGGAAACAAAGAAAATAAGATATAGATGACAAATGACAATTCTGTTTCTTACCCAAATCCCTAGAATTGACAGTGGGGTGTGGAGGAAAAATCAAAGGCAGCATCTTCAGGAGGAAAACAAAAAATATAAAGATCCTTAAAATATAGAAGATACAGGGTTTGTCAGAGGAGAAAACAACAGTCTGGGATATGTAGAGACACACTGCAGCAAAAGGGGCAAGTATTGAAGAGCTTCTCCAAAATAGGGGCAGGAAGAGAATCAGGAGGACCCCAGGCAGCCATTATTCAGTGCTGCGTCCGGAAAGCCGCAAAGGATCTACCTTTTCCCTCCGCTTTGCTTGCCCAGCAGCAGATAGAACTGTTGTCTTTTTAAAGTCAAAAACAATAACTACCATGGCTGCAAGATGGCAGCAGCAGAGCAGGACATTTGGTAGCTGTCAATGCTCAGAAGAAGGAGGAAATCTCCATCACAGGAACTTCCAGATCACTGCCTGGTGTGCCTCACAAAACAGAAGGATATCTTGCCTTCAGAGTCACTGCTGGCAGGTTGTATCAACAGACTCTACTGATAAAACAGAATGAACTTGAAATCTCAGAAATTATATACTCAATGTTGTAATAAAACAGAAACTCACATGTACTGACTTTGAAAGGGAGCAATTATAGATTATATTTGGGAAAGAAATGATGGAGCTAAAATTTTCTCACAATGCAACAATAAGAAAATCCTGATAGGTAATATATAAAGAGAAATATGTTAAGAAAATATAACATAGGATTATAACATAAGAAAAAATATGTAAAATATAACATAAGAAAAAATACATAAGATTTTCATAATTTTGTAATTAGGGTTAAAGGAGAAAATAAATGAGATAAAAAGGAAACACAGGTATGTGTGTGTATGTGCGTGTGTGTGTGTGTCCAAAATAAGCAGCCTCACATTGGAAAGGCTCCAACAGGCTCTGCAGGATGAAGGAAAATAGCTCAGTGCAATCCCTGAACTCCAAAAATAAGAAAAAGAGCTATAAAAACCCATAGAGAGAAACAGAAGAACTGACACTGGAGACCCTCATAGCTAGACCAGCTGTAGAGACACGATGGAAGTTTGGAGGGAAATAATTTTGGTTGAAAATTCAGCAATCCAATTATTATATAAATGTGAGAGCAAGATAAAACATTTTTATGCTGAGACATTTAAAGATTCATAGAGCATACTACCCAAGAAGAAAAAATGAAATAATGTCTCTCATTTGTGTGTGTATATGCATGATATACTGAGATGTTATATAATCAACTATGTAATGTGTCATCATATAATTATATAATATGTAATAATATTATGTAATCACAAATGATTATTGGAGTATGTAAAGCAGTAAATGGACATTTTCTCAGCAAAATACAATAGTAAAAATGTAATCATGAATAGGGAAAGCAATCAAAGATATGTTTAAATTTACACAAACATGAATTTTATGTATGTGTGTATATAAAATCTCCAAATAAAAGAATCCTACCTGATCTCACAGTTGAATGACATGGATGGAGAAAATGGGGTAAAGTAAAATATTTTTGCCTTTTTTGCATGCAGATAAAAAATATGTCTACATTTAAGAAAAACTGTTAAATGTGCATGGTAAGATTTGAGAGTACACTGTAAGAATAAATGCGGCATATATGTTTAACGTTTGTGCTTACATGTGTTATACGGTGTTTAATTTCTAGAAAACAATAATGCATACTGTTTCATTTTCAAAATATTAGAAGAAAACAGAAAGTAAGAAGAAAATTCATTCCAACAACACAACAAAAAAAAGAAAAGTGAAAACATGAGGAACATGATTATTATAATGGAAATGGAACAAATTTTCCCATTAAAATGCATTGACATTCTGTTTGAGTTAAAAATAATTGAGCTATCATGGTTTCATAACAAAACCATTAAAAAAAACAGACATATAGAAAATAATGGAATAGGAATGGTATATCATGAAAACATTAATAAAATAGAGTATTATTAATGAGATAAAATTAGAATTCATTGACAAAAACACATCAGCTTAAGTAAATAGGAATATTTCATATTGAAAAGTTTGGTACACTAGTTTTTTCTGGTCAATAGAAATAAATATTAGTTAAACGAACTCATGAATAAAATAGATGTCTTTCTAAAATATGATCAAAAAATCCTTACAAGGATATATAGCTATATTCACAGAAATGCACTCATATGAGTATTAGAAAGGAAATATATATATATATATATATATATATATGGCTGTGATACTGCAATTTTAAAAACCTTATGAGAACATGGAAATTAGTATTAATAAACTGGTGAATCTATATAAAATGAGTAATTTGGGAATACAATGGCTAAGTTTGGTTTGATAATAGAAGTCACACCAGATACCTTTGATGAAATAGTTTAGCATTCAAGATCAAGCCTTAAATATTTTTCAAGATCAGTCTTTTAAGTGAGTACTATTATTCCATCTGGAAAACAAAGGTTATAAAAGCTATTTGAGAGCATAGAAAATTGAATACAATCATAGAAAATTATTTTTACCCTAAAGTCAATCATTGACAAGTGTCTCATGAAAAAGGAAAATTATCATCTGAACTTATGAGAGAACTAAAATAATTTTTTATAACTTCAAAAAATCAAAGTGTATTAACAGACTATACATAACGACAATCATTTTCTCTTTAATTCAAGGAATTTTCCTATTTTGAGATCTTTTCAAATAAAGTCATAATTATTGAAAAAGGATAACATATGCTCATTCTAATATTTCAAGTGAAAGGAATTCATAACTTTGCCAAAACTTGTTCAAAAGTCTTTGTAAATAAATATAAGCTGCTTTTACGCGTACAGAACTTCTTCCATAGCATTTATTAACAATGGAACATGTTACCGTGTTTTTGATAGTGTTCTCATAAGTACTGGAAGCAGAATGCTAACTATCTAGCCTTATATCTTCAATTATATTAATAAACACACTATCGAAATACCAATGCATTTGTTACACAAATAGAAAAGATAATTCTACAATTCTTTTAGAACTACAATAGACCACAAATATCCAAAGCAATCTCAAGAATAAAGCTAAACACACCACATGTTTTTTTCTTTTTCTTTTTTTTTTTCTTTTTTTTGAGATGGAGTCTCGCTCTCTCACCAGGCTGGAGTGCAATGGCACAATCTCGGCTCACTCCAACCCCCACCTCCCGGGTTCAAGCGATTCTCCTGCCTCAGCCTCCCGAGTAGCTGGGACTACAGGTGTGCAACACCGCGCCGAGCTAATTTTTGTATTTTTAGTAGAGATGGGGTTTCACCATGTTGGCCAGGATGTTCTCGATCTCTTGACGTTGTGATCCCCCCACCTCGGCCTCCCAAAGTGCTGGGATTACAGGCATGAGCGACCGTGTCCGGCCATATCACACTTCTTGATTTCAAAATATATTATAAGGTTATTGCGATCAAAACAGTGTAGTACTGACATGAAAACAGACATATGGATTAATAAAATGGACTGGAGAGATGAGAAATAAGGCTGTACATCTAGGGTCAACTGATCTTCTTTAATCATGCCAAGAACACATAATAGAGCAAGAATAGTTTCTTCAAAAACTCGTACTGGGAAAACTGAATATGCACTTGCAGAGAAATGTAACTGGACCTTCATCTCACACCATATATAAAAGTCAGCTCAAAATGCATTAAAGGTTTACTCATAAAACTTGACACAATAATACTCCTGGATGAAAGTGCAGACAAAAAGCTTCTTGGCATTGATCTGGGCTATATATATATATATATATACACACACATACATATATATACACACACATACATATATATACACACACACACACACACACACACACACACACACATATATATATATATATGGAGGATATTACCCTGAAAGCACAGGAAACAAAAGTAAAAGTGGGCAAACAAGATTGCATCAAATGAAAATCCTGCTGCACAGCAAAGGAAGCGCATTTTTTCACTCTTGGAAAAAATCCAAAGTGAAAATACAACCTACTGAATGGAAGAAGATATCGGCAAACAATACATCTGATATGGCATTAACACCTAAAATATATAGGCAAGTCATACAACTCAATAGCAAAAAATAAAAAAGAGAAAAAAAGAATCACTTGATTAAAAGTAGGAAAACAAGATGAATAGATGTTTCTTCAAAAGAAGACATAAAAGTGGCCAACTAGTAAATAAAAACATGCTCCGTATTACTAATAACCAAGGAAATGCAAATCAAAACCACAATGAGATAACATCTGACACCTATTAGAATGCCTACTGATAGAAAGATGAACCATAACAAGTGTTGTCGAGGATATAGAGAAAATGGATCCTTGTACGTGGTTATAGAGAATGTAAATTTGTACAGTCATTATGGAAAATAGTATTCAGGCTCATCAAAAAGATTAAAAATGGAACTACTCTATGACTCAGCAATCCCGCATCTTGTGTATATCTAAAGGAAATCACATCAGCAACTCACAGAGTTATCTGCCCTCGCATAAATATTTCAGCATCACTCACTCATATCCAGCTAAGATATGGAAACAATCTAATTTCCTCTGATAGATTAATTAATAAAGAAATACATATACACAGCTGACCCCTGAACAACGTAGGTTTGAACTATGCAGATCCAACTATACAGGTATTTTCTTTTGCCTCTGCCATCCCTAAGACAACAAGACCAACCCCTCTTCTTCTTCCTCCTTCTCAGTCTACTCAATGTGAAGTTGATGAGGAGGATCTGTATGATGACCACTTTCACTTAATGACTTAATGCATAGTAAATGTATTTTCATTTCCTTATGATGTTCTTAATAACATTTGCTTGTCTCTAGGTTACTTATTGTAAGGAGTATATAATATGTAAAATATATAAAATATGTATTCATTGATTCTCATATCAGTGATACTGCTTTCAGTCAACAGTAGGCCATTAGCAGTTAAGTTTTTAGAGAGCAGAAAGTTGAAGAGTATTTCTGACTGCAGGAGGTGTTGCTGCCAATCACCTTTGCATCAAATATATATAAAATATGTATATTTCCTATATTCCTAATAACATATTATTTCCCTAATAAAATAAAATTGTTATTATATATTATGTGTAAACAATGGAATATTATTTAGCCTTATAAAAGAAGGAAATTCTGCCATTTGCCACAACATTGAACGCTAAGCAAACTAAAATAACCCAAAAGCAAAAAGAAAAATACTGCACGATCTCATGTATACATTAAATCCAAAATAGTTAAACTCATAGAAACAGAAAGTAGAATGGTAGTTACCAGGGGCTGAAATGGCGTGGTGGGTGGGAAATTGGGAGGTGTTGGTCAAGGAGTACAAAGATTAAAAGATGCAAGATGAACAAGTTTTGGAGATCTGCTGATCAACAATGTAATTAAAGTTAGCAACACTGTAGTATATTTGAAATTCACTAAGAGGGTAGATCTTAGGCATACTCACCACACACACAGAAAAATAAAATTGTAACTATGCCAGGTAATAAACATGTTAATTAGTTTGATTTTGACTATTTCACAATGTGTACATGTATCAAATCATCAAGGCATACAGCTTAATTACATAATTTTTTAAAATTGTCAACTATACCTCAATAAAGCTAGGAGAAAATAAATTTATAATGAATATAGTACTTAGTAAATGTTGTGTAGGATAGCAAAGATAAAATCTTAGAGAATGGACTTTAGCTTATACCAGGAGAAGGGTCCTATATTCCCCTAAAATATTTGCAAATGTATTATCAGTTGAAGAAAGTTCACTACGCTAATTTATGATGATAGCACAATTCATTTGTAAAGTGTGTGTGTTCAGAAAATACTGAGATACAGCACTGAGACCATCAATTCTTGAAAAAACTAAAACAGAAAAGAAAAGAAAGATGATGTCTTTTCTGTTGAAATTTTTTAACAACCAGCAGGATAATAAGAAAGTTGACTTAATGAGGTCTACATATAATTTTGTAAAGCTGATATTTAACACCAGGCTTTACAGAATATAGAGCTTGGCAAGATACATGGAATGAAGCAGAGGATCAGAGGAAAATGAAGAGGAGATAAAAAGAAAGGGCTATTCCTGAATTGAATGACAATTTCTCCTGACATAACCACTCATCAGATTAGTATTCTTCTGCAAAGCAATAGTAAATACAGGGACATGTAGTAGACAGAGCTTTTGCAGCTCCAAGGCTCCATTTGCATGAGTGGATAATAAGCATTCACCTCACTATACGGTGTTATAGCTTACAAGGAAGTAAGCAAAGGAAGTTAGAGGAAAAAAATTAGCTTTTCTCCCAATGTAGTCATAGATCTTTCCAATTTGAAAAAAAATCACCTAGTCAATGGATATTTTATAGCAAGAGAATATTTATAAGGTGATATTCAACCTGCTTCCTATCAAATGCAAAATAAATTATAAAATATTTCCCATAGGCAGAAAATTGAAAATGTTAACAATCGATCTATAGTAAGATTTTATTCTGTATTGTAGGAGAATGGACTGCAATGTTTCAGAATTGTGTGTGAATTGTAAGACATGGTACAAGCACAAATGCCCCAAGCTATAGAATTGATGACAATATTCTTAAATATCAACAAACAGCCTGAAATATCCATGATATTTTAAAATAATTTCTCAATAATTTATAGAACAATAAAAAGGCCATATTCTGGACCATAAAAACCTCAATGCATTTAAAAGAATTCAAGTTATCTTATGTATTTTATTTAACCACAGTAAAAATAATTTACAATCTAATAAAAGAAAGGCATCTAGATAATCACTAAGTATTTGAAAACAAAATAATATACTTTTTTTTTTTTTTTTTTTTTTTTTTTTGAGACGGAGTCTCGCTCTGTCGTCCAGGCTGGAGTGTTCAGTGGCAGGATCTCGGCTCACTGCAAGTTCCGCCTCCCGGGTTCACACCATTCTCCTGCCTCAGCCTTCCTAGTAGCTGAGACTACAGGCGCCTGCCACCACACCAGGCTAATTTTATTTTATTTTATCTTATTTTTTTAGTAGAGACGGGGTTTAACCCTGTTAGCCAGGATGGTCTCCATCTCCTGACCTCGTGATCCGCCCGCCTCGGCTTCCCAAAGTGCTGGGATTGCAGGTGTGAGCCACTACGCCCGGTCAATAATATACTTTTATATAATTCAAGATTAAAGAAAAAAGTAAAAGGTAAATTAGAATGTGTTTTGAAATGAAGGAAAATGTAACCCACAACATAATCAAATTGACAGAAATTGGCAAAACAATACTTTAGGGAATATTAATAAGCATGACATATTAGACAAAAGAAACTTCTGAAGTCAATAACTTCAAACTTTAGTAAAGTAGAAAAAATCAAAAGCTATACTCAAAATAAGGAGAAAAAAATGATTATGATCAGGAACTAAACTAGAATACAGAAAAACAATAAAGCATCTTTGAAATGAAAAAATGAGTCTGCAAAAATAATGAAATAGATAAACTTATAGTGAGACTGATCAGAATAAAAAGAAGAGAAAAAAACTACCGCTATGAAGAATGAAGTATGTGATATGGCTATAGATTAATAGAATAAGAAGATATCATTAACTTCATAGCAATCAATTTAAAATTTTAGATAAAATTGGCAAATTTTCTGAAATATACATAAATTCAAAGCTTGATCAAGAAAAAATAGATAACCTGAGT
Source organism: Homo sapiens (assembly GCF_000001405.40). Taxonomy (NCBI): domain Eukaryota; kingdom Metazoa; phylum Chordata; class Mammalia; order Primates; family Hominidae; genus Homo; species Homo sapiens. Next base: position 87,258,991 of record NC_000013.11, read on the forward strand.
ATTCTTATATCTATTACAAAGATTTTACTATTTTCCCACGAAGAAATGTCCTAACCTAGATGGCTTTTGTGATTAATTCGACCAAAAATTGAAGAAAGAATGTATACCAATTCTACATAAACTCTACCAGAAAATTAATCAGGAGGAATCTCTGCTGTGTTCATGAGTACAGTGTTACCCTAATACCATTAGCAAATTCATTTCAAGAACAGAAGACTACATCAAATATCCTGCATGAAGAAAGTTAAAAATCCTCTAAATACAATTTTCATAAATTCAATACCTCAGTATATAAAAATGATGAAACATAATGAGTAAGTGTTATATCAGGAATACATCAGGAATACAAGTTGGGTGAACATTCAAGAATCAACATATAAAAATCACTATTTGAAACGTCTAAATAAGAACAAATAGGCCCGTTGCCGTGGCTCACTCCTGTAATCCCAGCACTTTGGGAAGCCAAGGCAGGCAGACTTCTTGAGCTCAGGAGTTCAAGAGACCAGCCTGGCCATCATGGTGAAACCCTGTCTCTACTAAAACTACAAAAGTTAACCAGGTGTGGTAGCATTTGCCTGTAATCCTACCTACTACTCGGGTGGCTGAGGCAGGACAATTGATTGGACCCTGAAGGCAGAGGTTGCAGTGAACCGTGATCATGCCACTGCACTCCAGCACTCCGGTCAGCAGAGGGAGTCTCTGTCTCAAAAAAAAAAAAAAAAAAAAGAAAAGAAAAAAAGGAAGAAGAAAAAAACGGAAGGAAGGAAAGAAGGAAGGAAGGAAGGTAGGAAGGAAGAAAGTGAGGGAAGGGGGCAGGGAGGGGAGGGAGGGAAGAATAAAAGCAAAATAAAAGAATTTGACAAAATCCAACACCTATTTTAAATAAAAACAAGCAAAACAAGGAATAGAAACTTCCTCAACTTGATAAAGGGCATAAAACAAACCACTGAACATTTTCCATCTAAGTTCAGTAACGAGGCAAAGCTATACACTCTCATCATTTCTACTGAACATTGTGTTGAAAGTTTTGGAAAGGGCATTTAGGAAAGAAAAAGAAATAAAAGGGATTCATATCTGAAAGAAATAATGAAACCATCTCATTTCCAAATGACATGATCATTCATGTAAAAGTCCATGGAATCTACCAAAAAAAATCTATTAATGCCAGTATGTGAGTTTAGCAAAATTACAGGACATAATATTAATATGGAAAATTCAATAACATTTTTGTATACCAGCAACAACCAGAAATTTATTGTTCTAGCCTGAGATCTGGTTCTGATGGTACAAACTTTATGGATGTCGATCATGGCATCTTCATCTGTAAATCTGGGAGAACATCTTCCCTGTCTAACAGAGAGGGTAGTTGGGAAGATGGAATGGAATAGTGAGTGTGAATATGCTCTATAAATTACAAAGTGCTGTGCAAATACTGACAGTTATTATACTCATAAAAAGCTTATGCACTAATGAGAAAGTTAAAAGAAAAAGACCTAGTTATTCTTACAGGGATGTATTTTGCGTAAGTACAAAATGTATTTATGGGTAGAAAAAAATGGAAAATATAAATCAAAAAATTATTTTTGTATTCATTAGATGTTTTTCTAACTATGTAATGTTTAGTATTGACAATGTAGCAACATTAAAAATTCATTGTCTTCATGCTAAAAAAAACACAATAGCATCAAAGTATGAAATAATTAGGAATAACAGATCAAAAGTGACATGAAATATACTTAAGCTGAAAACTAAAAAAAAAAAAAAAGACTAATGACAGAAATATTAAAATCCCTAAATAAAACAAGAGATACACTTTTTTTTGAGTCAGAGCATTCAATATAGTGAAAGTGTCTAGTCTCCTCAGGTTTGTTTATAGTTTTCCTAGAATAGATGTTAAAATCACAAAAAGATTTTTAGTAGAAATTAACAAGGTGATTCAAAAATTTACATGAATATTCAAAGGCCTCAGAATTGTCAAAATATCTTTGAAGAAGAACCAAGTTGAAGAACTAACATTACCTGGCATTAAGCATTATTATAATGCTGCAGTTATTAAGACATTGGGGTTTTATCTAGGGATAGAAAACAAGATCTATTCAAAAGAATTGAGAACTTGAAACACAACAAACATATTTGAACAACAGATTTTTGACAAATACAGAGCAATTTGTTCATTCAATAAATTGCGCAGGAACAGTTACAATTAATATGCCCCAAAATGAATTTGTTCTTATTTCTTTTTAATGAGTAGATGTCCTGAAAGAAACTGAGATAAATAATATTACCTTTCAATATTCCTGGTCATTGTAATAGGCTCCTACTCCTGACTCATGCTTTTATTAATTCTTGCATTAAATTATGTATGTCTGCATTATATTCATTTCATATACTAGGCTTGAAAGTTCTGATACCTGGATTATGTTTATTTATACCTATGTTGGTTGTAGTTACTGCTGACTTAGTGTGATTTCTTTCCTTTAGTATACTGTAATTCATTTAAAAAATTCTTTATTGGGAGCTTATATTTTTGGGAACTCAGTGGCAATTATGCATGCCTGAAACTTCCGTCATATGCATATGTGTGCTTTTATATGTGTGTGTGTTTTTTGGACCATGAAAATAGTAGAAAAGCAGGTCCCAGGCTATTTTGAAGGTCAACCAATGGAAAAACTTTTCAGGGAATTTACTCATTTTTTTCTTTAAAGAAAGATAAAGCTGAGATAAGCATGTAAACATTTTATAGTTGTATTGTTTTGTGAAATGTATTTTTCCCACTGTACCCAATTTTCTGTATTATAGTCTATGAGGTATGGTCTTTAACTTAATCCTTCAAACTTTGCCTTAGTCATTTCTCTGTGCTCTAAAATTCTAATCTACTTTGATTTATAGCAACGTCTGTGCTATATAGCAGGTTGAAAACTCTATTACCTTTATAGCTTTGTGTTCCAGGCTGGCTTTTGACCTCAGATCTTTTCTCTGAATTACCTTCAGAGCATCTACTTGTTTAAAAATATTTGTAAAATTAAATATTATATATAGGTGTTTTATGAGGTGAGGAGTTCACGATATGGATTAAAATAGAATTCAATACAATATTTTCTTAAGTTAAATCAATTTAGACACTTTTTTTGTTTGTTTGCCTTGTTTTGTTTTGTTTCGAGACGGAGTCTCGCTCTGTCGCCAGGCTGGAGTGCAGTGGCAGGATCTTGACTCACTGCAACCTCCCCCTCCCGGGTTCAAGTGATTCTCCTGCCTCAGCCTCCCCAGTAGCTGGGACTACAGGCGCGCGCCACCACGCTGAGCTAATTTTTGTATTTTTAGTAGAGACAGGGTGTCACCATATTGGCCAGGATGGTCTCAATCTCTTGACTTCATGATCCGTCTGCCTCCACCTCCCAAATTCTATAGTATTTTATAGAATTTGCCAAACAAATTCGAATTACTGGCTTGAAATTTTTTTTACACTCGTATAAATGGAGTCTTTACTTTGATGCATGAAAAAAAGAATAAAAGTTTAAATAAAACTGAATATTTCCATACACTTATACTATGTGACGTTATGTTTGAAATTGCATTTGAAGTTATTTTAAGACAAATTGTTCTTAAAAAGTAGGTCGAAATATTCCTGAAATCAGAAGTTTTAATGCACTGCAGCTAATAAACACATTTTGAATGTATAATTTCTCTTGACAGCAAGTTGGAATACTTAAGATTTTTGGAAGCTAATTGCACTCTCATTTAGTTTAATGAACATTTTCAGTAGCAATATTATGATTCATGTTTCTTTGGGAAAGAACAGCTTGATACTTATGAAGTGTTTAGTTGTTCTGTGCAAGACATGTGGCTACTTTGGGAATTTTTTTAAACAATTAGCTCAGGCTGACATTAGCAATTATTTCTTTAAAAAATCTAATCCTATATTAAGCATATGTTAGTAATGCTTGGGATAATGAAATTGGTTTTCAACACCATCACTATCTGAGGAAAAATATTACATAAATTCTTTTTTGTTACTAGCAAGATTCCCTCTGGAAATAATCGACTAGCCATATGACCAATTAATCAAGAAAGAGGGGAGGGGAACTTCTCTAGAACTCTTTACACACTTGTTTTTGTCATTTGTAAAATATCTGATTTTACGTAAGTGAATTATCATTAATATTAAATAGTTTTAGGAGAGGCAGTGTTTCATTTTTTACCCTTTCAAATTTGCACCCAATTGAGTGACAGATGTATAAATAATAATGTCGTCGAGTTTACCATTAATCAGTCATCTTGGTGAGCATGGCTGATACCTGTTTCTAAGTTTGTATGATCTGAATTAGATAAATGTCCTCACAATGCTCTGGCACACCCGAATATCTGCTCATTTTTACCCCACTGGGAAAAACAGTCCCAGTAAGGAACCAATGTAAAGCCCCACCTTTTCCACATAGCGTAAAATTATGAACTAAACTTCGAGTTCTTTCCATCACTGAGTTCACTGAAGCAGAAACCTAATACAATCCATGCCACGTTAACTAATGGATACTACTTTCAAAGGCATTCATTCTCACTGCCAATTATTCATTTAAAAACTTGTAATATTGAATTGGAATTATTAGTTTAGGGAGCTATTTGTTAGAATCAAACTAAACTATTTTTGTTTATAAATATTCATCTCAGATTCAGCATCTGTATTAGTTTTAAATGAACTTTTTACCTTAGAATAGTTCTACATTTATGAAAAATGAAAAAAGATGGCACAGAGTCCCCATATGTAATACCCATAGTTTTTATTATTCTAAATGTCTTAAACTAGTACTGTATATGTCTTATACTAGTACTTTTATCACAACCGTGTATGTCTTATGCTAGTACTAAATGTCTTATACTAGTATTTTTGTCACAACTAATGAGCAGATATTGGTAATTATTAGTAATTAAATTCTATACTTCAGATATTTTTCATTTTTTACTTAATCTCTTTATTTTTTTCTTACTGTTCTATCCGTAGCAGCACAATTTATTTGCTCATCAACCTTAGGCTTCTGTTGGCTATGACATTTTCTTTGTTTTTCACAAATTTGAGCATTTTGAGGAATGCTGGTCGGGTATTTTACAGAACATTCTTCACTTGGGTTAGCCTGATGTTTTCCAATGATTAAGCAGGGGTTTTATGTTTTGAGGAAGAAGATAAGAGATGCAGAGTGCCATGCTAATCACTTCCTACCAAGGAATCAACATGACTTATTGATGTTAAACATGGTCACAATCAACATGGCTTGTTGTTGCTGTTAAAAGTGGTCACCTGGCTGAGGTAGTATTTGTCAGGTTTCTCTAACATGAAGTTACACTTTTACACATCCCCCACCCTTTTTCATACCGTGCTCTTTGGAAAGAAGTCACTCTGCGCAGCCCATATTTCTTAAATAATAGAGAGTTACATTCCAAGGAGTAATTACATTTTGAATTACTTAGCATGGGAGATCCACTTATTTCCGCTTGTTAATGTTTTGATGCAGTCCTTTATTTATATCAATATAGATTCATGGATATTTGTTTTATATTGTGGTTAATAATTCAGTACTTTATTATTTACATTATGGCTCAAATTTTCTCTCTTTGGACATTGAAAGCTCTTTCAGTTGGTACCTGTGTCCCTTTGACATATCTCCATTATTGTGGATTTTTGAGCACCTCCTTACTATCTGTCACTATAAGATGCTCTGGAGTTATGTTATATATACTCTGTCCCAGCTCTAGATTCTTCTATTTCTCCAAAAAGCCCCAGTTTATTTTGTTAGAGAATAGTACTGGAAACCAATTTGGGTTGCTGGGGTGTTCATGGCTACTGAAACAATTGTTTCTGGGTCCTCTCAGCTGACAGAACAAGGGAACTGCCTGTATATTTTCCTGTGTATCTTAAAAATACTATAAATAGTTCTGTATGTACTTATGTGTGTCTACATTAAGTTTAACATTGTTCATGCTGATGCTGCCAACTCTAGTATGTCATAATACAGATGACTTCAGCCTTCTCCTCTTACCTGTCTCTAATCAATTACTCCAATATTGGGAAACAACAATCTACCATTCGTTTACTTCATTATTCAATCCCATCATGCACATATGGTTTCAAAGTCATTAACCCTTCCCTCTGCAGAAAATAACTTTATAATGGGAGTACAGTTTTTTTCTTTGCTCTTACAGTATTCATTCATACCCAAAGTTATCAAAGTCAACACCTTTTCTTTCTCCTTCATTGTGGTTGTTTCATTTATTTATAATAGTTAGGTTCTTTTATCACATTCTGCACTCCATCTTCAGTTCCCTCAGACTCATAAATGTCTTTGTTTTTGCTTACATGCATTCAGCACTCATTCTTTGTGCTATAAATTTTTATAGGTTCTGGCACTTACATAGTATTGACTACCTACCATAATAATGTAAGACAAAATATTTTCAGTGCCTTAAAGTTTCCTTGTGCTTTACATATTAAATGCCCCCATCACAACAAAAACAAAAATAAAACATAACACCAGTAACAAAACAATGCCTTTCAACCACTACTCTGTTTACCGCCTCTATAGTTTTACCTTTTCCAGAATGTCATACAGTCAGAAACACACATTATGTAGCTTTTTGAGCCTAGCTTCTTTTAGCTATGTGCATTTAAGATTTATCCTTGCTTTTTGTGTGATTTAATAGCTCAAACTCTTATTTCTAAATGTTAATCTATTATATGGATGCGCCTTCTTGTTCTATTTATTAATATAAATGTGTTTCATTGCTATTTAAAACAAGGTAACCGCACATTTTTAAGAAAATAGATTCTTTAGCCACTTAGAAAATATTAATTAATAGAAGATAGTTTTAATCTTAAGTATATGTATTACTTATTTTATACTCAATGTCAAGAGAAAAAATATATAAATTAATCATCTTTCTATGTACCATAACTTACATGTTTCGTAGACCGAGAGAAAATTAAAATATATATACTGAACCAATAGTTGCATTAATCTAACAGAGTAATAAGTATACTTTAATAATTCTGTATCCATTTTTTTAAATATATATCAATGCTCTTATTTTCTCAATAATAAACAGTTATATAATCACATACTTCTATATGTGCATATAATATGAAATATAAGTGGTTATAGTTTTCTTAATTAACCAAATGACACCATACACAATTTGGAATACACTAAAAATAATACTTTTACTTTATTTTGAGAAAAGTTAAGCATCTTTAGCACTACTTAAGCACATTTGCTCTGATAAGTTATTTGCTAAAAAATTAGATTAAAAATTAGATAAAGATTTGAGTGTATTGTTTCATTACAGAAGTTAACTTTTACCTATGTGCTTGATATATTATATATATGTGTGTGTGTATATACATATATATATATATATATATATAGAGAGAGAGAGAGAGAGAGAGAGAGAGGGAGAGAGAGATCCTCGTTGTAAATGCCTTTTTTACTTTCTTTCAAATGTTTGGCATTATTTTTATCAAGGCAATTTTTTTTAAAGAGACTATACTAGGTAATATTTAGATATATTAAATCTCTTGTTCAAAATTTAGCAAATGGTTCATTATGCATGCGTAAGGAAGAGTTGAGAACACAAAGACGTCTGTAAAGGAATTGCAGCTTTTGAAAAGCCAATATAATAATGGGAAAAAACAAGGAAGTAAGAGATAAAAAATACTTTAAAGGAGCAGTCTATGCCATGAAACATAACAATTTTAAAATATATATAAAACTAAGTCTATGTTAATTAAATATATAAATTAATATACGGACATTGTTATAGATATATAATTTGTCATCATATATGCAATAATAATTTGCAAGCTTTTCTTTTTTTCCTCTTGTATAATATGTATAAGTGGGCCTGAAAAGGTTTAACCAAAAATGAAACAGATAGCCCTTATTACTCATGACTCCTTTTTGGTGTGGTCTTATATGTATGATTCCTTTTACTCTACAGGTATTTTGGATTCATTTATTATTTTAATTAGAGTTTGGGACAAGTTGCAGATAATTTTGTTCTTCCCAAGCTGTCATTCTTTCCAGGTGTGGGTGGGTGGATAATCTGGCTCTCTAGAAATTTTATTAGTACTACATTAAATATCTTAATTGTATAGGTAGAAACACAATCTATAAAGTATAATAATTTAGTCAAATAAAATCACTTTAAAAGCCTCAAATTTGTGTTTTATTTGTACATATCAAAATTTATTCTATGAAGCAGTACATTAAAATATTAAACACTGAAATGATGGAATTTTCAAATTAAACACTACAGTATATATATATTTACATATACATATATACACACACATACATACATATATATAAATTCGTAATATGGAAGCTGTTGTTAATTTAAATAATTTTAATGAGGTTACCAAGATGTGTCAAAAAAGCAGCATGCTTTTCTAAGATTATTTTTAATTCTTCCTAGTTCAGTAAGAACTCATTTCAGGTTTTAGATAAACTGGATGATATGTGATTTTTTGAGAATTTTTTTCATCTTGAAATTGATTTATTAATGTCTAGTTGTTGTCAGATCTAGCCTAAAATATGACTTTAACAGTAAATATTGTGTAAAATATGTATACAAATTATGTTAGTTTCCATTATCCAATAATTGAATTTTTATTTAATATGGGAATTTTTTTTTTTTTTTTTTTTTTTTTTTTGAGACAGAGTCTCGCTCTGTCGCCCAGGCTGGAGTGCAGTGGCACAGTCTCGGCTCACTGCAAGCTCCGCCTCCCAGGTTCACGCCATTCTCCTGCCTCAGCCTCCCGAGTAGCTGGGACTACAGGCGCCGGCCACCACGCCCAGCTAATTTTTTTGTATTTTTAGTAGAGACGGGGTTTTACCATGTTAGCCAGGATGGTCTCGATCTCCTGACCTCATGATCCACCCGCCTCGGCCTCCCAAAGTGCTGGGATTACAGGCATGAACCACCGCACCTGGCCTAATATTGGATTTTAAACTACATGTTTTAATAGTAATTTCAGTTGTATGGAAGATTATATGAAAAAGACACTCTATGTTAACATAATATATATATTCACTGTATCACTAACATACTATTACTATGTATATATTCACATAATTAAATGGCCACTAAATGCATAAATTATTTGCCTAATTGTAACTGTCTTTCACATTGTCTGTAGAATATTTTATCTCATATTTTGTTCACACACCAAAAATATCTGTTATAACATTAAAATTCTCTGGGGCCCTATAATTGTTATTTTTGTCCGATAACACTGCTTGCTATATTCTGATTTATAGTATCCTTCAGGATTTTGAAAAAAATTTTAAAAATTATTATCTATCTTCTTATAATTTCAATTACTCAATTTTATTGATACATATTATTTATTTATTTTTATTTATTTTTTAGTTTTATTTTTGAGATGGAGTCTTGCTCTGTGCCCCAGGCTTCAGTGCAGTGGCACGATCTGGGCTCACTGCAGCCTCTGATTCCTGGGTTCCAGCGATTCTCCTGCCTCAGCCTCTTGGGTAGCTGGGATTACAGGCCCAGGCCACCACACCCGGCTAATTTTTGTATTTTTAGTAGAGACAGGGTTTCACCATATTGGTCAGGCTGGTCTCGAATGCCTGACCTCAGGTGATCTGCCCGCCTCGGCCTCCCAAAGTGCTGGGATTACAGACATGAGCCACCGGGCCCGGCTATTTATTTTTTTTTTAATGAGACAGAGTCTTGCTCTGTTAACCCAGCCTGGAGTGCAGTGGGCGGTCTCAACTCACCGTAACATCCGCCTCCAGGGTTCAAGCGATTCTCCTGCCTCAGCCTCCTGAGTGATAGCTAGGATTACAGGGGCCCACCACCACGCCCCGCTAATTTTTTGTATTTTTTTGTGGAGATGGGGGTATCACCATGTTGGCCAAGCTGGTCTTGAACTCCTGACATTGAGTGATCTGCCTGCCTCAGCCTCCGCCCTCCTCGGCCTCCCGCGTAAGCCACCGTGTCTGGTCGACTTCTATATATTAATCTACATCCATTTATGTGCTATTTGACAAAAAGAAAAGAAAAATAAAAACAACAATGTGCCTCATAGTAATTCCTATTTTGAAAATATACATTGTTTATATTTATAGTTATGAAATCGGTGGGGTTATAATTTCAGCACAAACTAGGTCAATCCTCCTTCCTAGGTATCAATTTAAACCTCAAAATTACTTCACATTCACTTTTACTTCCTTCCCAAATAATACGAAAAGTGATCTAATCTAATCTTTTTAAGACTTACAAGAAACAGTCAGAATACAATTAGTTGACCAAATTATTACCTGTGAAAAATAGAGTATCAAGTTAATGCTGCAATGAAAATCATAAGGAATCACAAACACAAAAAGCGAAATCACAAATGAAAATATAACTCTTTTCTTTTGAAAACTTTTCCATAACGTTTTTCACATTAACGTTTGGCAAATATTTCTTATACATATATATTATCACTCTTAGCAGTGCTCATTTAGCTTTCTCATTTTTTCAGTCATTTTCAAGTAACCTTCTAGTAACTTTTGAAGGAAATACTTTCATTAAAGGATAACATATAGAGTGAAAAGTGCACAAATCTTACGCACTGTCCTATGAACTTTTACTTGGTGAACACACCAATGTGAGCTTCACTCAGATCAAGAATATTGGCGGGGCGCGGTGGCTCAGGCCTTTAATCCAGCACTTTGGGAGGTCGAGGCGGGTGAATCAAGTGAGGTCAGGAGTTCGAGACCAGCTTGGCCAACGTGGCGAAACCCCATCTCTATAAAAAATACACAAATTAGCTGGGCATGGTGGCGCCAGTTCCTGTAGTCCCAGCTACTCAGGAGGCTGAAACGGGGGAATCAATCACTTGACCACGCAAGGCGGAGGCTTCAGTGAGGCGAGATCGCGATCATGCCACTGCATTCCAGCCTCCAGGCTGGGCAACAGAGTGACACTCTGTCTCAAAAATAAATAAATAAAAATACATATACATATACGTATACATATAAACACATGTATGTGTGCATATATCGTCAGAACCTTAAGAGCTTAAGTGTCACTTCCTTGTACCACTGCCTGCACCCTCACCCTCTGAAAGCTTTATTGATATTCTTTCATCTGGCACAACTAGAAAGGGAGAAGTTAGAACTACTGACCTGCAATTGATTTATCTCCCGAATACCATTAAGCAACTCCTAACAGAAAGAAAAGAAGGGAATCAATTTGGCATAAACTCCTTTATTTTACGTAACTAAACTTATGGGTAAATTAGCTAACACTATTTCTTAGGACAATGAAACTTATCTACGGAATGCCTGAGAAAGGCTGACCCTAAGCATTGCTTATAGATAATAAGTACAGAATTTATGAGTTAAAGAAAACTTCACAGAAACATTGATGACAATGGAGATCTCTCAGACTAATTGTTCTTCTGTTGTGGATGTAAAATCACAAAACCTAGGGATTTAGCAGTTATAGGAAGCCCGGTAATACAGGTTTGCTGTGGAAGAACAGGGAGAGCCCGCTGTATGTGAGACTTATCAGGCTTTTTTCAGAAATGATTGCCTGTATCTTTGTCATTACTAGTGAAGCCTAGTTTTCTTGTTAAGATCTTAGATTTGTGTGAGTTTGATTTGACAATTCAATTATTTGTGTGTTATTTGTTTTGTGTTTATTTTATTTTGTGCTTTTTGGGGGGTTGCATATAGAAAAATAGAGTCTTTTGTTAGTGCTATATTGATCTTGAACCCTGCAGGTTTTCTAAATTCACTTAACAATTCAATTTAAACTGCTATTACTTGAATGTGTACAGTACAAATTGTCAGAAATTTCTTGTTTTATATCATATGGATTGTTTGTGTTGATTTTTGAGAGGTTGGAGGTGGAATCAAATACTTGTTATAGAGTTACCTTTCTTGGCAAGAAGTTAATGCTAAAATAAGATTTATTTAAGTAAAAAATAAAAAAAATAAAATTTGTGTGGAAAAAGAATGTGTGTTCTTTATTTCCTGTGTTGATACATGAACACGTGTGTTTATTGTGGCACTATTCACAATAGCAAAGACTTGGAACCAACCCAAATGTCCATCAATGATAGACTGGATTAAGAAAATGTGGCACATAGGAACCAACCCAAATGTCCATCAATGATAGACTGGATTAAGAAAATGTGGCACATATACACCATGGAATACCATGCAGCCATAAAAAATGATGAGTTCATGTCCTTTGCAGGGGCATGGATGAAGCTGGAAACCATCATTCTCAGCAAACTATCGCAAGGACAAAAAACCAAACACCGCATGTTCTCACTCATAGGTGGGAATTGAACAATGAGAACAGCTGGACACAGGAAGGGGAACATCACACACCGGGGCCTGTCCTGGGGTTGGGGGAGGGGGGAGGGATAGCTTTAGGAGATATACCTAATGTAAATGATGAGTTAATGGGTGCAGCACACCAACATGACACATGTATACATATGTAACAAACCTGCATGTTGTGCACATGTACCCTAGAACTTAAAGTATAATAAAAAATGAGGAAATTAATTATATCTAACGAATTAGATTGTTCTGAGTATTAAATTTGTTAAGATATGTAAAGCTCTTAGAACATTCCAAGGATGGTAATTTTTGTTAATGTATTGTATGTGATATTTGCTTATGCATGCAAGATTATGAAGTGAGTAATATTTATGGAAAATAAGATTAGAGAAAACTAAAAAAAATTAAATAGTCATCACTGATAATATGGCTGCTTTATTTTGTTTCTATACTTGTCTCCATACTACTTTTTCCTATCAATTTATTTTTTCTAGAAACTTCTGTATCACATAATTTCTGACAAAGATAACTTTCTGAAAAATTTTATGATAAAATGGGAAATATTAGAATAACTGTATTATTTTAATTGATGTAAGCTAGGACCACCCACTTGGGAACTAGCCATTTTCGAGTCTCTTTTGACATATTTTTCTCCTATCTATATATCCGTAGGGCAAAAACATGTAAAGTGTGTGATGTATCCACCTGTTAGCTCTGTTGTTCCATAAGCTACTTAATGCCAGCCAACTTCAGTGTTTTGTAATTGGTGATTTATTGGATTCAACCTAGATAGACAAGTAAAACAAGAGAGAGCAAACTAAATTGCATTATTTTAGTGCTTCTTTTTTTAACGTAAAAGTGAGGGAAATTAATTACAACTAAACTAACAGTCATATCTGTAAGTGATGCAAACATGAACATTTTACCCCTCGATAATGAAGCAAATCCTCTTACAAAGATGAGGAAGATGGAGCATGGTGTTCCTGAGCTTCCCCTTTCAAGTATAATCAGATTGGATTCCGTGCTGGCCTTATGCTTTCTATCTCTGCAATGTTAATACAGCTACTGTGCCTGCATAAGCATTTTTCAGTTTTGCAATATAAATAAAATAGCAATTACCACATAGAATGACTTAAAAGTTTGCAGACAAGCAAAGAATGTGGTACTTGGGAATGGTACTTGGTAAATATTCAGTAAATGTAACTTCAACCAATATTATTGTGGTACAGATAATAAGAGAAATAGTTTTCATTTTTTTAATCTAGCATTGGATGAAGGTTTTACCTAATGTTTATAGGACTTCACCAATGGATGAGTATCCTAAAATATAAAAACTTATTATTTAGCTATTTGACAGTTCTTTACTATTTTTGGAAAGATATTTTAATAATCTTTAAATATCAGATAGTGATTTTCTATATTGTCTTTAGAACACCAAAAGCAAAGCCATGACAAGGAATACATTTGATTTTCTTCTTCTTGGATTTGATAGTGGGGACATGTCTAGGGGTGGTAAGAAAATGTCGAGTTTTAATTTTGAAGAATATTTTCACTTGACAATTTAAAATTTCTACTTAATTGTTTTCAAACAGTTGTCATGTGCTTAACCATAATTGTATTACGAATATGTTAATGTGCATTTCAATAAAATGTGAAAACACAATGTATTTTTGAAAAAGCAAATGTGGGAATAATCCGAGTTGCTATGGCATACACATGTCCTTTAGTGGGCTGGCTTATGCCACCACGATTAAGGCATCCGGAGAAATAGGTATCAATATTTTCCTTGTGATATACTCACTAATCATTACTTTACTCATCCAACTGATAGCATGTCGTCATTTGCAATACATATATTTTTATGATATTTAAGATTTTCAAATAACACAAATTAAAATTTTATTTTTTCTATATTTTTATCTGTGCTAAAACATTTTGTTTTACTATGAAGATTCAAATTGCTCAGTAAGCAGCTAGTATATTTGGGTTTTGTAACATATTTCTAAACAAATATTTTGTTTCTTCATCCTTTAAAATGTCAGCAAGTCAGGAACATAGTAAGTGATATCGTTATGGTAAAGAGATGTACCTTTATTTGCTTTGGTATTCTTATTCTTTTTCTATACTGATAAATGAATTAAAAAGTCCATGTAAATATTTTGTTTACCATAAAATCAATGTCCCAGTTCATATAAACCTCTAAAAATGAAAAAAAAATGTAGGGAGTTAGTTAAAATTTGTTTAAACTCCAGTGCAATTTTCAAGTATGTATTGTTTCCAATACAATTTAGACATCAATTCATGGATTGGTTTTCAAAAGCTTCATTATGAAAGTATTTCATGTAGTCTTTCATTTTAGGAATGCCTAAGGCATGATTTGTTAGTACTACTTATTTTCATGGTTATATATTCGCATCTACTCTGTGAAGAACAGAAAAAGAATAATGAATACATTTCAGGGAGAAGATCTGTAAAACAGGCTTTACATGTTATTTAAAATGAAGCCCTCTTCTCAAGAGATTGTTTTACCATTTCAAGAAAGAATACATTAAATAGTCAGTCCCATACACCGCCCAAATAAACTAAGTCTAAAACAAAAAATATGTGCATGAAAGAGAAAAATGTTTCCTGCCCCCCCGCCCCTTGCAAAGTATATATGTCTTTCTGTTTTGGCTGTATCTACTGTGACTACACCTGACCACCTTTTTCATTCCTTTAGCTCTATGCAGAGCTGAACACTGGGCAGCAATTTTTAGAATTATGCTGATTGGGATAATCTTCTTCATGATGTGCTGATTTCAAAAGCCTAGTATCCCTGGAGTTGAATTTGGAAAGCTGTAAATCGGTTTCCTAACACTACATTTTGCAATGTGTAAATTAATAACTTGGCATTTCACAGCTGTTTTAAAGGCTGTGCTTTAAAGAATGAAATATCAATCACAAATATACATCTACCCAGAAATGTCAAATCCCACCCAAATGAATACCACTGCAAATTAGCAGCAGGTCACATTGTTCTGCTGTTCTTTCACCTGTGATGCATTTCCTTCTTTTCCAGGTTAAGAGCGCCCCCTGGAGAGGCTTAAAGCTATTTTCTACCCCATATTAAAAGATGGGTGGTGAGCTGCTTTAATAACAGAACATAGTATCCAAATGCTAAGCCTATTTGAAAGAGGCAGTGTGGTATAGTAAAAGAAGAAATTAAACTGGGGTCAAAATACCTGGATTGAATTCCCAAGCCTGTGCTTAGGAGTTATTTGCATTTAGGCCTCTCATGACATCAGTTTTCACATCTTTAAAATTTGCCTCACCTGTTCCACAGGGTTATCTAAAATTGCCTTGCCTACCTCAAGAGGCTTACAAAGTTAACATTGCCTAATAAATATTCAGTATTAGTTTTCAAAATAAGCTTAGAGAATTATAGAGATTATCAATGCTATAAAGATTAATGTTTCTTTCTATATGATATGCTAATGTATGGATGTGTCCCTGGTTCAAGAGGTTACTAGAGGATCATTAATTTGTCTCCCATATGAATAATTAATAAAATAAATTATTATTTAGTGACTGAGTCCATGTGAGTAAATATAGGTCAGAGCTACTTAACTACATTTCATGCCTAAAGGACTTGTATTATCTCTTCACCAATTTTCTAACTATCAAATTCTGTCCCTAATATGCCATTTCTAATTTCCAAGTAGTGATTTACTCTTGGAATTTTAAAAAAATATTTCTGTTCTTTTACTATCTGCATGAAGTATATATTATATTATCTGTTGGGTTGAATTTGTGTCTTCCCAGCTGGACTGTAAAATACTTAAGAATGGGAAGAATGTTTTATTCACTTGCATTCAACACATTGATCTATACACAGAAGGGATTCAATAGAAACATACAGAGTGAGTGAATAAGACATATACTAATTGTGTATTATATTTAATTTCATTCAGTCCTGGAGCCAGCCAGTATTTCCTGGTATCTTTTAAAAAAATTAATATGAAGGATGATATTAAGAAAATATAATCTGCCATTCATTAATGTCCTCATTTCAATGAATTATCCATAATATTTTAAGAACAAATATTTTGTTGGAAAAAGCTATGCATGGAAGCACTATTTTCTGAAGTGAAATTTTATCCAAACCATGTGGGTGGTACTATGGCTGTACCTTTTTTAAGTTTTAATATTTGTTGTTTATGAGTAAAATGAACTTATCAAATGCATATGAAAGGTTCAGAAATATTATAAATGAACTAAATATTCATATTAATCAATTACTTTAATTAGGATCAATTCCACCTATAGAGTTTGACATTACTATTTTAGAAACTATTTTGATTTAATTCTGTGTTGGATTATAAAAAACAAGTTACAAAAAAAAAATAAAAATAAGATCCTCTTTCTTGCGTGATATTCAGGGGAGCCATATCCCAGGGAAGTAATAACAAGCAATCTTCTTATAAACTTGGGTAACAAACCATATATCATCCAAAAAAGCTATTAAGCATTAAAATTTATGAGAACACATCCATATACCCATAAAAATTATAAGAGTGACTTGAGGATGGCTGCTTTAGTATTTTACAAAATTTTATTAGAAATAATGTCTTAGTTCATTCAGACTGCTGTAACAACAAAATAGCTTAAACTGGGTGGCTTATGTACAACATAAATTTATTTCTCACAGTTTTGGGTGCTGGAAGTCCAAGATCAAGGCCCTGGCAGATATGTTGTCTGATGATAGCCCGCTTCCTCATGGACAATGCCTTCTTGCTGTGTTCTCACATGCTGGAAGGGACAGAGTCTCTCTAGGGTTTCTTCTACAAGAACATTAATCCAATAGATGAGGGCGCTGCTGTCATGACCTAATCACCTCCCCAAATCCCTACCTCCGAATATTATCATACTGGAAGTTAGTATTTCAACATATTAATTTTTAGGGAACGCAAATACTAAGATGATATGAGATAATATTATACATGGTGAATGTTCTATGACAATCCTCTCCATCTTCACAAGTCATACCGGATGGCTTCATCTATTAATACCTCCAGCACTGGAAATAGTATTCTGTTTCTTGTCCTGGAATGAAATTAGCTTTACATAATTATCTCCATGCTAATAAAAAATAAAATCTTGTTTTAGATTCTTCACACTAATGTAAAACCAGTTTTGAAGATATAATGATTAAATGGAGGTATTTGGCTATACAGCAGGATTTTGCTGGTGTTCCTGTGAAGAATCAAATACATGGAAAGGCTGAAACTCCAAAATCAAATGCAAAAGCAAGCTAAATTCTGACAGCCTACTAAGACATAATTTAAAATAAAGATTATTTCTTTATTTCCTGCAAAGACATAATTACAAGATATTCTGGCTCAATTTTAGAAACACAGTCACGCATCCTCTAACTCATATGCACGCTTTTCTTTTCTCACTATGCATCGCTCAACCTTCAGGACCTGAATTTGCGCTCTAATTCCACTGACTGTACTGGGCTGGGACTGGGGAACAGTTTCTGCCGCATTCACTATTACTTACCTCCTGGTCACATCCTGCTTTCTCAGAAGCAGGTTTAAGTCTTTCTGATCAGTTTAAAGAGACAAAAACCACAAAACAAAAAAAAACAAAACAGTAAAAAATAAAGTTTAGGCATTTTCCCACAATTTCTGGTTCTGATTCATACAGCTCAGAATTTTATTTTTGGAAATTGATAATGTATAAAGAAAAAAATGTATCTGGGCAAAATCATCTTCAAAGTTAGAAGATACTGGTTAAAGCAGAATTGTCAATATCTTTCTGCAGATTGTGACACACACACGCACACACATATACATGTGCACATATGTACATGTACATGTGTGTGCATGTGTATGTATATGTGTGTATATACAGAGAGAGAGCCTTACAATATTCATGTACATTTTCCAGGAAATTCTACTTTGAAAAATTTATTTTGATATTACTATAATATGACTTACCTAAATTTATATATATCACAGACTATTAGAAAGGAGAAATTGGAAACACTGAAATATCCAATAAGAAAACTAGAGTTTAAATATATTAAGGTTCAAGTAGAATATAGTTCTTACATGTTTCACAGCACATTAGAGTATCTACAGTTAACAAAAATGTATTATACTCAGATGACAAATCCCGAATATCCTGACTAGATCACTACACATCGTACACATGGAACAAAAGTTCACATGTACCCCATACGTTTGTATAGAAAAAAAAATGTTTAAAAAGAAAATTAAAGAATTTCAAAACAACAACAAAAGAATACAGTGTAGGTATTTTCAAAGGTACAATTCCCATTTATAACGTACTATTAAGTTAAAAATTAAGAATATTGTGTTCTATGTGACTGAAAATATTATTGTTAGAAAAAAATATGCAGATGTTCTTAACTACTTATAATTGGTAAGATAATCATCTTTTGCTTATCTGTATTTTGTTTATATTCTAAAAAAAGTTTATATATATTTATATATATCTTTTAAAATTCAAAGTTAAGTTAAAAGTAAGCTAAAGAAAATCATTCTTCCCAATAAGAAAGACATTTATATCATTTGACAATAAAATTCCACTAATAAAAATCATCTCAAGATGAATTAAAAGAAGAGCTATTCACTAAGATTTATGTGAAATGACAAAGTGGTTATGTTCACATTAGTGAAGACCAAAAATAACCTGATTATGTTAGAAAGTATTTTTAAATAATATATGGTAAAACCTTTCAAAACATTACTCTTAAATATATATTTTAGGAAAATGTAAATGGAATGAAAAAATGAAGAGAAGATTGAAAACAAGACAGTAAAATGATACGTATAACACCTAAAGGTTTTCTTTTTAAGTCAATATACTGTAAGAAGAAACAAACAAACACAAATTCTAGCTATATCAGGGAGATGTTGCTTTCAGATGCATATTCAGTTTCAGAAATTTTAAAATGTAAAGAATTCACATTGATGATTGAGCACATACAGGTGTGAGGAAAAGAGAAAATATACAAAATACTAAGTCAAAAAATAGGGGTATAAATTCGTTCGTGGATTTGACTTTTTTTCAAAAAAAATTGTAAAGTAATAACAATTTTTTCTCTAACTATGCTATACTGCTGCTCTTCTACCGCTAGTATACTTCCATTATTACTACTACCTTATCCACTACTCTAAATAGGAATACCACTAATTAAATATTATCTTCTCTCTATTAAGCCCTTTATTGACTCATTTAATTCTTATAATAATGCCATTGTTAAATTTCGGGCTGGGAGGGTGGCTCATGCCTGTAATCCCAGCACTTTGGGAGGCCGAGGTGGGTGGATCACCTGAGGTCGGGAGTTCGAGACCAGCCTAATCAACACGGATAAACCCCGTAACTATTAAAAATACAAAATTAGCCAGGCGTGGTGTCTCATGCTTGTAATCCCAGCTACTCGGGAGGCTGAGGAAGGAGAATTGCTTGAACCCAGGAGGCAGAGGTTGTGGTGAGCTGAGATTGCGCCATTGCACTCCAGCCTGGGCAACAAGAGGGAAACTCCATCTCACATACACACACACACTCACTCACACACACACACACAAAAAAAAACCAAAACAACAACAACAATTTGATAATGCCTTTAAAAACCATTTTTTTTAAGAGATGGGGTCTTGCCTTGTTGCCCAGGCTGGAGAGCACTGGCTGCTCATAGGCACAATCATAGCACAATACAGCCTGGAGCACCTGTACTCAAGCAACCCCTCCTGCCTCCATCTCCCAAGTGACTGGAATTACAGACATGAACCACTGCACCTGGCTGCCTTTGAGTGATGAGAAATTTAAGGATTTGTTAAGAACCCTGAAGTAAATTGCCAAACATAAAAGTACTTATTTTCGTTTTTCTTCTATATAAGCTCAACTTCATATTGATTTACAAAGACTCCATGTATATTTTTAAATTTCATAAAGGATTTCCATAAATTGTACTATTTAAACCAATCAGAAACCCTTTTATTCTGGTGGAGCAGTCACTGTTTTCCAAGTATACTATTTGAAGCATAGAAATGAGACACTTGAGACCTATATAAAATATTTGAACATTAATACTTATTCTATGAACAAAGGCCACTGAGAGATGAAAACAACAATCATGACATGTGGCACTCGCTTCATCTTTGCACTTGTTATTTTGTGTTCTTGGTCACATTGCTCAGTTTCTTCTTCAGTTAAAGGAGTGAAGAAGCATTTGAGTAAGAAAACAAAGGCTCAAAACGGTAGTGGGAGGACAATTAGTGCTAGTTGTTAATAGTAGTAGTAGTAGTAGTAGTAATAGCAGCAGATACAGTATAAGTAATGTTTATCTTTGGATATGACTTTAAAATATTTTGAGAGTCTTAAAGGAATCTATAAATTCATGTCAACAAGGCTACTCCTGAAAGTATAAAATGTATGAAAAATTATTATAAAAAGTCTTTTTTAAATAGCATTTTTTCTAGCTCCAATATTACCTACTCTACTAATATTCCTAACATCCTCAAATTCTTCTCAAATAATTATAATTTATCATAAGAATAGTCCATTTGTTTTGTTTTTAAATATTCACTTACTACTGGATGAACTTCTGATTTTTTGCCAATTTCTTCTTTGTTCTCACATCAACCCTTGTTATCCCATAATTTACTAATGCTTTGAAAAAAGATTTTTTAAGTAGCTGCTGCTGCTATCTGATAATTAAACAAACAAAAAAAAAGCTTGCTTTTCATCGCTTCCAAATGAGGGTGACGTGTGTCTTAGTGTGCAACAGTGATGGGACACCACGTTGACTATGATCAATATCAGTAGATAAAACCTATACTTAAAGAAGCTCTTTGTGTTCTTCAATAGTTTTTAGGAGTACAAGGGGGCCTTGAAGAAAGTGAAGTTATAGTGAACATGTTCCTATTTATAGCAAACATTATGGAAAAGTACCACTGGAACAATCGACCATAGGCCATGACCACTAGAGGTCAATATTACAGGAACTGAGTCGTTAACAAACTTAACTTTTAAATAAACAACTGAAGTATTACGTCCAGCAGCAGTTGAGCCACCATCCAAGAGGTATCCTTCTGATTCTTCTAAGTAGTCACTTCTATCTTGTAGGACAAAGAGAGAGAGAGAGGGTCAAGAAAGATTTGACTGATGTCACCACATCCTTTTCTCTGAAGACCTGGCAATTAAACATTGCATTCGAACTGTTTATGTGGAAGGATAGCAATCCCCACTCTTCAATTCCGCTGTGCCTCTGGCTAATTCACGAAAGAGAAGTACATAACAGACTAGAAGAATGTTAGTTTTTCTGTAGCTTTAATTAACAACTTCCTGTTTAAAAATTTAAATTCTGGAACATTCCCAGTTGGATTGTCAGAATGGAATGTTGTGCCCTGCATTTGTGATTCCTCAAGCCTATTTTTATAAACTTTGTGTATCCTTTGTGTCTACCATAGAACCTAGGACTGATTCTGCATACCATGAATATATACTGAAATAATAAATCATCACCTTTTTTTGTCCTGTATACATTTCTTGGATGTACAAGGCATAACCTGAAGTACAACACTCAGGAATCTACTTTAATTTAATTTATTCTATCAATTTGAAAGGCCCAAACATATCTAACATTGCTCTTGAACAATGAGTTATCTTAGCCACAAGAGCTAACTGCTTCCAGAATTTCTGTTATGGCATTGGGATATTGAGCTGTATATCTTTGTCTATTCACCTGTCTTTGTAATAGCATTCAGTATTTCTCTACCCGCTAGCATAACCCTAGTTTTATGCAAACTTACTTTTATCTTTAAAGGCAGTAGGAACTTACATCAATCATTCCTGCTCCCTAATTTTCCAAACAGTAAAACCTGGCAATTTCTCCTCTAGTTTGTTATCATAATACACTCTTGAAATATTTAATGAGTTTGAATCTAAATCTGAACTTGCTTCATGAAGCAAAACATTTTATGTTGCAGCTGAGTAGCAACTCCTCTCATTAAATAAAGCTGGTGATATTCTGTAATAGATAATAGTTTCAACAAATTTTCATACAAATGGAAGTAGTAGCTAGTAGAGAGACAGGCTGTTCATTCAAAACATTGTCGATAAAAAATTAGCCAATATTTTCATACCATATGTTGTGCCTATAAACAGTCTTAATATTAGAAATAAAACATTTAGATTGTTGTTATTAAATTTTTGGCTATTTTTGAAAAGATAATCTCTAGATTAAAAAAAAAAATTTAAAAGTGCTGTGAGGTTAATGGTTTTGCTGTGTGACAGCAAGGACCTACTGCATATTTGTCCTTGCTTTTTAACCTTTCCTAAAAGGATAGAGTTTATAATATTTCAGAGAGGATGTTCTCTATTTCCATACTCAAAACAATTAGAGTTTAAGAGGGTCCAGGAAAAATACTTAGTTACATTCTCTTGCCGATACAATACGGACAGTCTCCAAAAGCTCTGGATGCTCACTCAGATATTGTTCGTTGAAGGCAAAGACACACTGAGCAAAAGATGGCCTCCCAAATATTTACTTTTATAATTTAGTTATTGATTTAATCTACATCTCTAAGAATTCATCTCCTTGGTCTTTTTGGTTTTTATTAATTGAGTACAATAAGATCACGTTATAACTAGCTTATATATATGCATTGAAAAATATAGGCAGAAATTAGATTAAAATCTTTAATTCTTCTCTCAAATAGACTACTAATTCTGATTGTTTGACATCGTAATCCACGTACAAAGGTGTTTTTCGTTTTACTTGTATTTTTACTAAGAGAGCCGAGACTAGCAAGTGACACTTGAACTTCTCACAAGCTATCATACTTTCTTTCCTCTTTACAGAAGTTTGCGGCTGATGCTCACTCAGCCTTTTTCTCTAACATTTAGAAAAGGAGGAAAGCTAGTTCATGCTGTTTATATCTTGCTTCCAGAATCACTGATTTTGTTTTGATAACTTCCAATCCCAACTTACCCATGAACAACAACAACAAAAAAATAGTGTTCCATTCTCAGCTCGACCCCTTAAACAAAGGAAAAAAACAAAACAAAAAAGCAACTGAGGTAGGCTTAGGATACTTTTCAGGAAATTTCCAGCCTTTTCTTGAGGCATTACTCTCTCAATATGATCTTTTGAAGAAACAGAGTTAAGCATTTCAGAAGATAGAGACTTGGAACTGTTTTTTCTAAAAATAAAAATAAAAATAAAGCAGAGAACTGTGAGGCAATCTGAGGAGTTTGCAAGAATAAATGAGCTTTATTTTTTGCAAGTATTGTGTAAAATTGATTTCAGAGAGCTGGATTTGGCAAAAGTGGAAATAAAGTTATAAAATTTTGAGCTAACATGGGCTGGATTTCAGATAACATATGGTATAATATTTATTGAAAGCATTTATATTCAAGTACATTTCATTATTTTAATACTATTTTTCAAGAAGAAAGGTCTAGATGAACACGGAGATCAACTCTAAAGTACAACATGGCACATGTATACATATGTAACAAACCTGCACGTTGTGCACATGTACCCTAAAACTTAAAGTATAATAATAATAAAAAAAGAATTTTTAAACTTAAAAAAAGCAGTGTTTTCATAGGCCACCTCATCTTAGAGATACAAGTTAGAATAATAAAAGCTGATGGAGTCATTAGTACTTAGTTCAGACCCACCAGCTGATTCCATGAACTCTACTGCTTATGAGCCAAGAGAAGGGAAGTATAAGATATTTAACATCCCAAAGGCTCACACAATTGTGTTATAGTGTCTGTATCCTGTACCATATCAGTCTTTCAAAATAGTGTCATGCTCTCTAGTGAAAATATCTGCAAACCCATGACCATACCCACACACTCAGGAAGTAAAATGTTTATTCATCTTCAGGATCTTGTATATGTCTATGTATAATATCTTCCACATATATGCTCAAAAGAATTTTGTTTTTTTTTCTCCCCACATCGTGATATTCTAGATAAAGGGTTATCATGTCCCAAAATTCTCTGCAAAATTTTGTGTTCTTTCTTTTGCATCACCTATTTCATCTTCATTTCCATAAATATTAGCTTCTGAAGGCATGAGCATTAGTCTTAGGCCTTCCTTACAGACACTGTTTTTTTTATAACATACTGAGACAAAATACCACATAAAAATTTAAAAGGTAAGTGAGGAGAAGCAAAATCTTCAAGGGTCTACAGTGATAAATTCCTCAAAATGGGCTTCAAACATGAAAATTGCCAGTTTATGAATTTATTATGATTCTATTTTAGATAGACTAAAATCCTCCACATTGTGTATATAGAATTTCTCTATTTTTTCAGAGTTCAGAGCATTAAAAAACACATAAGTCGGTATTGATTATTTGAGTTTTAGTTCTGCTACAGCTAACACACCAAGTTATACTTTCTCCAATAAATATTTGCAATCCCTAAAAGGTCTTGATGCTCATCCAAAAAGTATTCTTTGGAAGCAATAGCACTGAGCAAGCAGTCTTCTACTTCATATCAGATACCTATTTTTGGCTCATCTGCAGGTGAAAATGCTTTCACAAACAAAAGTACAGACTACAAAGTTGGAGAAGAGTGTTATAAATGACTTTTCTAAAGTTGTTTTTTTAAAGATCTTCTTTTTGATAAGTTCTTATTTTTGACAATGCCATTTTAAAATTTATGTCAATCTTTGAGTTTACACAGTCTATCCTCAATGGTGGGCTTTATCACCCATGGGATGTTTATAAGACAAATTCAGATCTTTTCGTATAGGCTGACAGCTTGCAAGAACAGAATGTATGAACTCAGAACTAACTCATGGATAAGTTAGCCACACACAGATACATACGTCATTTAAAAACGCTTATTTCTCTGGTTCAATACCTACCCTAGGCTGACAGCTTGCAAGAACAGAATGTATGAGCTCAGAAATAACTCATGGATAAGTCAGCCACACACAGATAGATATGTCATTTAGCAACGCTTATTTCTCTGGTTCAATACCTACCCTTCTGCACTTTTTCTTGATCTTTCCAGAACAGCAAAGAGGTAATTTTCATCTAGTTTCCTTAACAGTGGTCAATTACAGAATACCCCTGACCTAGTCACTGATCCCATTCTCTGGACAGGCAGTTTCCAGAAATTGAGAGCGGAGACTTGTGACTTTTATTTTTATACACACCTCTAGAGAGATAAGCAAGTAGAAAATAAAGAGAAGAAGGAAGGAAGAAAGGAAAAAGAAACAGACTAAGGACATTAAATATTAAACTGTGAGCTGGATATGGTGGCTCACGCCTGTAATCCCAGCACTTTGAGAGGCTGAGGTGGGCGGATCACTTGAGGTCAGGAGTTTCAGATCAGCCTGGCCAACATGGTGAAACCCTTTCTCCACTAAAAGTACAAAAATTACCCTGGCTTGGTAGCACACACCTGTAGTCCTAGCTACACAGGAAGCTGAGGCAGGAGAACCCTTTGAACCTAGGAGGCAGAGGTTTCAGTGAGCTGAGATTATTACCACTGCACTCAAGCCTGGGCAACAGAGCGAGACCCTGTTTCAAAATACAATAAAATGTGAGATAAACACAGATATGGTCACTATTTCTATTTGCAGTGGCATGTTTAATAAATAAGTTTGAAAGCCTATAAAAATATGAAAGGATTAGACAATTTTTAAATGACTCAAGAAGAAAAAAAATTAAGATTAAGAATCCTTAAAATTAAACTATAGTTAATACCTCCTCCCTCTGCTGTCATGAAGTCAATGTCTTTTAAAAGAAAATTATATATATATATATATATATATGTATATCTGTGTGTATATGAATTTTCATATGTATCTACATATGAAAAGAAAAATAAGTCTCTCAGGACCCCAAAATCACTAAGCCAAGAGAAGAGTCAAGCTAGGAACTATGTCAGACAAACCTGCTTCCCATTCTAGTCCTAAATAAGATTGCTACAAAGATAGAAACTACATACCTCCCTCACAATTTGTCCACAAGAAAATTCCTTGTGCAAAGAGGACAGACAGAACTCAAAGTGTTCCCTCAGAGGCTCACTGGAGACAAATGCATATCTGATTGCTTCCTCTGCTCTACTGTTTATGTAAAAATGTGGATTCAGTGAGCCAGACTCAATTGTGTATTCAGTAGAAGGCTGATCAAGGACTCAAAATAATGCAACCTTTTGTCTCTTATCGACTTATGACCTGGAAGCCCCCACCTCTAACTCCTCGATTACCCCCACCACTGCCTCAGTAGTCCTCCCTTACATATATGATTGATGTCTCATATGTCCCTAAAATGGATAAAACCAAGCTGTACCCTGACTACCTTCGGCACATGACATCAGGACCTACTAAGGCCGTGTCACAGGCATATTCTTATCCTTGGCAAAATAAACTTTCTAAATTGACTGACACCTGTCTCAGATACCTTCTTAGTATATGTATGTATGTGTATATATATATGTGTATATATATATACACACAAGACACATATATATACACACACACGTATAACAAATTTTACCAAAATATTTATAGCTTATAAAAATTGCTTTTGTGAATAGAATAAAAAGAAGATGGCCTAACCTATTTTTTATTTTATCAAAAGCATAATGGCATTTTAAACTTTTAAAAAGTATATAAAAATAAATATGTATCAGTTTGACATAATTAAGAATGCTATAGTAATTAATACTTTATCAAAATAAATTTAGTAATATTTGCATTAATGTGGAGAATCTACCAAAACAGAAAGAAGAAAGGATGGGAATGGGAATTATTACATTGTTTCTGGCCATGGCACCAATACACACCAATCAAAAAGATCCATCACACCAATAGTAATCATTTAGAAAATATAATACATATTTTGAAAATAATTTCATTCATATTAGCAAGAAAAAATAAGTTACTTAGGAAGAGTACATTTTAAAATTATAACTTATAAATAAATTTTTAAAGCTGCATACATAGATTACCTAAAAATGTCAAAAATAAAATCTAATCGAGGCATACAATGAAAGTCTAGTCAAAAAAGACAAACTATGACAGGAAATATATTAAAGTTCAAACACAAATGAAAAACCAGCAGAAAAAAGAATACTGTAATACATATGTCAGCCAAGAAATAGTGTCCTAGACATTTAAACTGTGTGCAAAAAAATAATGAAAATAAAGCAAGACAGCAGAAAAACAATGACAACCACAAAAAAATAAGGGCTAAGGAAAAAACTAAGCTTATGGTCACAAAAGAAAAATTTGGTATAGGAATCAAGCTATGAAAATCTGTTCAAAGTCAGTGAAAGTATTAAACAATGCAACATGTTCAGGTAAAATCTTCAAAGTCTCATCAGTATGGGAAGCACAAATTAAAATTCATGCATTAATGGTGGGAGTGTAAGTTGCAACAATCAATATGAAAAACAACGACATTATTTTGAGAGAAAGAAAATGCCTATGTCTTATGACAGATCAGAGAGAGGAATTTAAAGTCTCTGAAGAAGAGAGGTACAGTCTCAGAAGACATGAAATCCAGAGTGACTTTAAATTCCTTTTCCATTTGTTGTTATCTGTCATTCTTTAACTGATACTCACATTTTGAAAAAGAAAATTGAATAGGGTTTTTTTTTTTGCCATTTTGCAAATCTCTTATTTCCTCATAATGATTTTAATTAAAGTCCAAATCCTTTCAGCTGAGTATAAGAAACACGTTTTCTACATATTGCTTTAATTTAAATATTTCTGATGATTATACAACATTTTTAACCAAAAATATCCGGGAAATTGTTGGTTTTATAAAGTGTATTTCTGTTTCCTTGTAGCATTTATTCTCCAGACATCTACTTCATCTGATAGTAATATAGTTATACCAGATTTCTCACCATTAATATTTTCCTGCAACATATATTTCCATGGAAGTTGTAGAACATTAAAAAAAACTCTGTCCTTGTCATTTTGCATTAGAATATATATATATGTATATATATATATGTGTATATATATATATATATATATATATATACACGCTGGAAGAAAAATCAAACAATTTGAGTACTAACAAGAGATCAAAAATTTAGATTTGTTGTGAGACATAATGACCCTGTGCTCCTAGAAAGAACACTGCTGGGCAACTACATAGAAACTACATAAAACGTTTATTTTTTTACATGACCAAAAGGAATGGTTGCTACATGAATGAGGTCCAAAATAATAAGAGAAAAATATGAGAAGTAAAAGAAGGGACAAGGAAAGCCTGTAATATTGTATCTACTATTTCTCTTCTGGGGAGAGGAAGAGACATTCTCTCCCTTAAAGGTAGCCTTTGGAGTGAGAAGTATGTTATGCCCTAAGAAACGCAGTCCTGTGAGATGGTATCATCTCTGTGTTAACAATGGGAAATTTGAACATTATATACACTATTCGTATAGTTAATAATGGAAAGAGCTAGGATGGAAGCCAGGATAACCTGGACAAATATCATGCCTCACTCAGAAATATAGTCCACAATTCATGTATGCATTAATTTACTTCTTTATCAAATATGAGAGGCTACTAAGTAAATGACTCAGCATTAATAGTCGGAGAAAACACAGGAAAAATAACAGAAAACATGCCTTCCTTCATAGAACATACAATTTAATAGAAAACTCATTTAAAATACTCTGTGATAAAGTGTTTGAATAAAGTGTACGTAATCTTCACCTAAGGGCATCATATAAGGCTAGTGAAAGGAAATTATCCCTCCACAATGAGAAAAATTTGGCAAGGTGAATGAATCATGAATGGAAGTGGAAGTAGTAGTAAAAAAGAACATTTTGTACAAAACATAGCATAAAAGGAAATAATGGAGTCATTCAGGAAATGAAAAACATTTAATTTTGCTATATAATAGATTACTTGCGGGATGCTTTGTAGAAGGCAGGAAATAAGGTTGGAGAGAGAAGCAAATGTCAAATTATTCAGGGCCAGGTAAGCTCTGTTAAAAACTTGAGACTTAATTTAAAAAAGCAAGACGGGATTTCCTGAAGAATTTCTTTATGCAAATTAAAACTTGATCTGATTTGCATTTTAAATGATTCTTTGTATATGTAGTTTGGAAAATAGATTAGATGGAATTAAGTCCTAGTTATAAGAAAATAATTAAAAGAAAATTGCAGCAGTACATAGAAGAAATTATGTTGGCCTAGACTAGCCAAGTGGCAGAAGCTTTAGTAAAAGTGTCGCATATGGTCACATGGAAAATAGAAAATATGGCTCATTAACATGTGGATGTAGCTATGGGGACTCCCAGGTTGGATGCTACATATGACCATGGATTTCTTTTACTTGCTTGCATTAAGGTATAGATGGAGAAAGATAAGCTGAAACAAACAAATAAAAAGCAACAACAACAACAACAAAATCAATGTTCAAGTAGAATTTAGAGGAAATATAAAGGAGCTAGGATGTTCTCTGTTCAAAAATAAATGATTTATGAAGTTTCTCCCAAAAAACACATTAACACTTAAGAAGTGGATTTAGTGCAAATGTTCAATAATCAATGCACTACAAAAAGATAAAGAGTAAAAGTATCAGGAAATTGAACTGTAAGATCTTTTTTGTCTAAATCTCAGAATAATTTAAGGTAGGAACAACATTAAGTATACTAAGGCTCATACATCCTTTCAACTAGACAAAGCACGTCTAAGATTCTTAATCAATTGACCATAGCACTGACTCTGAAGTGGAGGTAGAGGAAATTCTGTCTTGCAAAGAAAGGAGACTGAGAGCAGGTCTTTTTCTAAATCAGTGGATGTAAACTTGGAACATAAGAAGGTATTTTATAAGCTTGAATTGGAAAAGAAAAAAATGGTGGGCCAGGCGCGGTGGCTAACGCTTGTAATCTCTGCACTTTGGGAGGCTGAAGTGGGTGGGTCACTTGAGGTCAGGAGTTCGAGACTAGCCTGGCCAACATGGTGAAGCCCTGTCTCTACTGAAAATACAAAAATTAGCTGGATGTGGTGGTGCGTGCCTGTAATGCCAGCTACTCAGGAGGCTGTGGCAGGAGAATTGCTTGAACCTGCGAGGCAGTAGTTGCAGTGAGCTGAGACCATGCCACTGCACTCCAGCCTGGCCCGGGCAACAGAGTGAGACTCCGTCTCAAAAATAAAATAAAATAAAATAAAAATTTACAAAGTTAAAAAGAGGAGTTTGTACTTCCAAACTTCTACAAGTAGGATGTTGGCTTGGATGAAATATCTATTCAGTTGCAAAGACCATCCATTAACTAGGAAAATGGAAAGTAGAATCAGAACACGGAGCCAAGACCAGGAAGCAACACTTGACATTACTCAAGAAACTTCTGACATAGAAACCATGGCTGAAGAAACTCAACCCCAGCTGGATTTGATACAGGTGAACGGATCCTATACTTTTATCTGAAAGCAGAATTGGATGAGACATTTGGAGACAATGAGAGAAGTAAATGTATTTTCATGTGAGAAAAATATAAACATATTTTAGCCATAGGGTTCTAGTAAGTTATTTTTAGAGTCTCTCTTTCCTATTGAAAAGTGGAGAAACTGGAAAAAAATAAATTTTTCTACTTTCTCTTCCATTGATTTTGGGCTGGTCTTACTGATTGCTTGACCACTGGAGTATGTCAAAAGTAACATGTAATAGCTACCAAGATCAAGGTGTAAATAGCTTTGCAGCTTAATAGCATAGACTTTCTCAGAACTTCCAGTCTTTGAGCCCTTAGCTACTGTTTAAGAAATTGAATACTCAGCTGAAAGACCAGGTAGAAAGGCCTTGAGATTACCTGGGTAGAGATAAGAGCCCAGCTTAGACCAGGCTGCCAGTCATCTTCACCAAGGCACCTTTCGGATAACAGAAACCATCTTGTAAACTTGAGCTCAGTAGCCAGCTGAATATTACTCAATGACTGTCCCAGATGACACCATGTGAAGCAGAAGAATTATCTCCTTGAGCCCTGCCCAAATTGTTGAGCTGTAAAACTATGAGAATAACGTAAGTTATTCAAGCCACTAAGTTTCAAACCATTAAGTTTTGGTGTGCTTTATGAGCAGAATTTAGATAGAACAATATATTTTTTCCTCCATGTTCTTAATCTTGTATTTTTATCTTATTTTTTTTTTTCCATTTTCTAACCTCTCACGTATGTTTAAACTTCTCCGAACTCGGGTGCCTATCTCCTTTTTTCTTCTGCTTACCTGCTAAAGCACAGTGCTGTTTAAATCCAATTATTTTACTACTTTGTGTTTTTCACGTACAGTTGAAATGTCTGTATTGGAAAAACAGTTACAAGACCAACAATTTCAAATTGTTCAAAATGCAGTCTTAAAGCTGCAAGAAAATTAAATCACATGTCTTCCTTCTCTCATAGAGGACTATTTGATCTTTCATCACTGTCTTCAATCCTTTGGACACCCACCCTCAGAACACAACACACACACACACACACACACACACACACACACACACACAGTAACATTCTGACTACTAAGTGAGTACCTTGTTTTTTCTTCACTGAGGAAAGTGAAGCAAGGAAAAAAATAACTTCAAAGAAAGAAGACTACTAACTACATGCAGGAGTCTGCCCCAATATACTCTGCCTTTCCCACTTAACATAAGTGAAATATTGATTATCTTATTGAATACCAAGCCACTGCTTTTAACCACATTCAACCCTCTAACTAACTCAAGGCAATCAGTTCAGCAGGTCTCCCTATTATCTTCTATAGGATCTTTTTTGTTTGTATTATGTGTATGTTACCAAATGTATTGGTTAATTATTCATAATATTATTATTTTGTTTAACAAAGTAATGTTGCAGTGAGTATTTGGGTACAAACAATTTATGTGCACAAACGGTGATTAAAAGTATACTCCTTGACACTATTTATCAAAACTAAAATACATATTTTTTCAACTTCTATTTTAGGTTCAGGCAGTACATGTGCATGTTTGTTGTATGTGTATATTGCATGATGCTGAAGTTTGAGGTACAAATGATTCCATTATCCAGGTACTGACCATAGTGTCCGATAATTACTTTGTCAACACTTGTTTCCCTCCCCGCCTCCCCTAGTAGTTCCTGGTGTCTGTTGTTACCATCTTTATGTCATGAGTACCCCAGGTTTAACTCTCATTTTTAAATGAGAATATGTGGTATTTTGTTTTTTGTTCCTGTGTTGATTTGCTTAGGGTAGTGGTCTCTAGCTACATCCATGTTGCTGCAAAAGTCATAATCTCATACGTTTTTATGGAGGCATGGTATTCCATGGTGTATAAATACCACATGTTTTTATCCAGTCCACCATTGTGGGGCATCTAGGTTGAGTCCATGTGTTTGCTATTGTTAATAGCGCTTGATGAAAATGAGAGTACATGTGTCTTTTTGGTAGAATGATTTGTTTTCTTTTAGATGTATACTTAGTATTGGGAGTGCTGGATCATGGGGTAGCCCGCTTTAAGTTCTTTGAGAAATCACCAAACTGCTTTCTGCCGTGGCTGGACTAATTTACCTTCCCACCTATGGTGTATATGTGTTCTTTTTTCCTCCACAGCGCTGCCAATGTCTACTGTTTTTTGACTATTTTGTAACAGCCATAATGACTGGTGTTAAATGCTATCCCATTTTGGTTTTGATGCATTTCTCAGATCATTAGTGATGTTAAACATTTTTTTCATATGTTTGAGGCCCGCTTATATGTCTTCTTTTGAGAAGTGTCTCCATGTATTTTGCCCAATTTCTAATGGGACTATTTGTTATTTGTTGCTCAAATGTTAATTCTTTATAGATTCTAGCAGTCATTATGACACTGAAAAGGTATCTCCAGTTATATACATATCTATTATAAATAAGATCATTCTCCCACATATCAACCAGATTATCACACAAAACACTGCTGAAAGGAATCATAGATGACATAAACAAATGAAAAAACTTTCCATGCTCATGGGTTGGGATAATTAATACCACTAAAATTTTCATACGGTCTAAAGCAGTCTAAAGTTTCAATGCTATTCTTATCAAACTACAAATATAATTTTTCACAGAATTGGGACTAAACTATTCTAAAATTCACAGGGAGTCAAAAAAGAGCCTGAGTAGTCAAAACAATCCTAAGCAAAAAAAACAAAGCTGAAGGTATCACATTACTGGACTTTACACTATATTATAAGACTACAGTAATCAAAATAGCATGGTACCAGTACAAAACCTGACATTTAGACCAATGGAACAGAATAGAGAACATAGAAATAATGCTGTGCACCCACACCCATCTGATCTTCAACAAAGTCAACCAAAATAAGCAATGGGGAAATGATGATTTTTTTCTTTCTCAAATCATTTCCATCAATATAGAAACAAGTTATTTCTCATGTCTTAAAGTTTCACATATTTTCTTGACCACACATCTGTGCAATATACTGCCCAGTAATTTGCTTTCTTTTAACTCCTCCCAAAAGTGATTCTATGCTTACTGCCTCAAATTCCTTTTCTCCCATTCTCTCCTAACCCCATTTCAAATAAAATATTGTCTCATCATTCCATAGCAACTGGTTTGATAAAGGCCACAAATTACCTCGATATTGCTAACCTAATGGTTAACAGTTTTCATTTTCTCACTAATCTGAAGTATATAATGTAGTTGACATCAATCTACTTTCTACCCTAAAGTTTTACACTCGTGTTCTTTATCCTAGATTCACCACAAGTAAAATGTGGCTTAATTTTGCCAGACCACTGGAACAAAAGTTGTAGTTATTATGACACTGAAAATGTATCTCCAGTTATATATATCTATTATAAATAAGATCATTATCCCACATATCAACCAGATTATTATCACACAAAAATTCAAAATATCATCTAATATAAAATTCACATTTAAATCCTCTAATTTGCTCTTTTCCCCAAATTATCTTATATCTGCTTTTCATCAGTCAACTTTACTACTTCCATTTATCACTTAATTTCCAGGACTACACATTCTGTGGATATTTGTGTGCATTCATTGTTTGATTACTTTCAATTACTTTGCTAGACTTTCTCATTCTCCCAAAACTGGTAATGTTGGCCTACACCAGAGCTGATCATCATGTTACACTCATAACATTGGTCACCTTATCGTTTTTCTTGGATTCATATATTGCCAGAATGCTGATGGATACCACATTTAAAACTCAGAAGCTCAGAATTCTGTCTTAAATTCTAGACTCATTTATCTAAATATTTATGTGACCTCTACAATTGAATACTTAATAGATTTCTCCAACACAACATGTCCAAATTGAGTTCCTCATTCCTATCTCCCACAAAATTTGCCAATATATTTGATAGCAGCCAGTTATTGAACTGTTCATTCAAAAGTTTTAGAATTATCCTTTACTCTACTTTTCCCCTGTCTCTCCCCCCTTTAAAATATCAAGAATTTTTAATACTTCTATTTTTAAGTTATATCTATCACTGCCTGCTGTGGATCATTTTATTGTCAACTAGATTATGCAAAAAATACTTTTCATAGATTTTTCTTTCTCAAAGATGCAGGGTAACAATAGGCTTAAAGGATTTCTTTTGTGAGATTTGGGGGAAAAAATGGAAGCAGCAGCCAGTGTTCTCTGAGGACATGTTAATTAATTCAGACAAAAGCATATGGACTGGTAAGCTGTGTTTTAGCTTGCTCTTCCCATCACTGTGTCTGCTTCCTAATTTTTGAAGCTGTGTATCTCAGGCCATCACCAAATACTGCATTTTTGACTCCCAAATATCTGCCATGGATTACTATACTCGTTGCTACTTTAAGGCCCCCACTAGAACCTCTAGATATGTTTTTCTTGTCAAATTAACTTGTCTGTGGCTCCTCCTAGTTTCTAAAACTTTCTTTAAATTTTTATTTCTAAATTTTCTCCAATAATTATGTAAAGCCTAGTATCTAAAACAAACCTCCATTTCATGGTTCATAGTGGTTCTTCTTCCCTGAACAATGGTGTCTGATAAACCTAATAACATCCTGAGTACAGCCTTTTTATATTCTTGACATCAGCCACAGTGTTTCTTTCAACATATGTTAAATTAGTAATTATTCTGCTTACAACCCTCCACTTGCTCCCATTTTTACTCAAATCCAAAGCCTATCCCTTCCTAATTGAGTTTCCTGTTATCTCACAGGACTCATCTCCTATGAATTTGTCCTTGCTCACTTTTTTCGATCTACACAAATGACTTCATTACTTTGTATAAGTACATTCCGCCATTTAAGAAATGTGTTCTACAATTTCCTCTGCATAGGTATATCTTCCCTCAGAAGAAAATTTGTTTATCTGTCTTAACCACTTTAAATCCTTGCTCAAATCTCAATCTCTAAAATGGTCTTATTACTGACGAAAATACTCTGTGACTCCTAACCCCTTACTCTGCTCTCATCATTTGTAACATAAGCATAATTACCATAGATATAGTCTTTTATAACATAATTTATATTTTACTAATTTGTTATGATCCATGATTTATTGTCTGTCTCACTGGATCATAGGCTTTACATGGTTATGAATGTTATAGGCATATCAAGCATCTGGAAATATGTTGGCTTTAGTATTTACTCAGTTGATATATGTAAAATAAATAGATGGGATAAGGCATTTAAGCAAGAGGAGAGGATGATTTTAAATCGTAAGCACTGGTGTTTAAGTTGAAGAGGAAGGTGTATTAAGGAAAGAAATAGTAGATAGGATAATCTGGGTAAAAATTCAACAAAACCGCAATCCACCGCAACATGCTAAACAAGCTCATCAACTATGTTAACGTGGAATCTTGTTTTTGATACAAATCATCCCTGATTGGTAAATTTTATTTATTAATACATACAAGTATGTATCAGAAATTAGATCAATCCCTCATTGCCACCCCAAGAGAACTGAAAGGAAAGCCTATTGTCACATACAGAGAATTATCTTGTTAAAATATTGTAGAAGAAGAATAGTTTCAGCACATCCATGTCAGCACTGGATAATATCACTTTAAAATATGGATATTAGGTAAAAGCATAATTTATACTATTTATTTGCTATTCGTGTTATTGCTGTTGTTGAAATTCGTTTTGACTTTATACGTCTGTTCACTAGTTGCCTTTTCTTCATTGGAAATTATATATCTGTTTTATAATTATATAAATCATTCTCTATGTTATATATAGTTATATAAACAACATATAATTATATACATTATTCTCCAATTTAATCATACTAAGTACAGTATCTAAGAAATAGCAAAAAACACTAAAAATGATTATTGTAAAGGCCCATCATAATCTTATGTATGTGTAAATAAAAAAAAGAAATTCAGACACTTCTGATTTCTGAGGCAAAATGTTAAGATAAACTGGAACTTGTCACTGCCATTGTCTAAACAAGATAAGTGTTGAACAACTTGAATGTCAGTACCTCTTCTTAGATCTCTCAGACAAATGAGATCACAGACCACAGGAATGCCCTGAAAACTGAAGAGACAGATGTATTTTGAGAAGTATAGCCTACAAGGGGCAGAAGCCACTGGACTAGTAAAACTTAATTTTTAATTGACAAACCACTTTTGGTGGAGTGTAGACTAATTTGAAAGGTAAAAAACTCTTGGGGACCAAGGTTCAGGAGAGCTCCCACACTTTCATGAATTTTTCCTCCAGAAATCAGTTGGAGAAATTTTACTTCTGGTTTTCCAGTGAAGATCAGAGAAAAATGTCTTTCTGCTTTCACAGGAAAAAAGGAAAAAGTAAGTAATTTACAATAAGCTCAAAGACAAAGCAATCATTTTCAAACACATCTAGAATGTTCTGTTCTTCACCTGTGCTCAAATAAAACTATTTTACCAGAGCCTAACCCACACAGTGTAAGGGAAATATCCAACTTCAGTAGCAACTAGCTTTTTAGTCTCACCTAAGGGACAATAAATAAACAAAACAACTGAGAAGCCCTTGTAATGGACATAGCCTGAGAACCCAGGCACACTGAAAGCCTGAGACCTAATCATAGGACTATAAAATGCTTATATTGCCCTCCACCTTCATATCACACCAACAGATATGCTGTATGATAACAGAAAATGACAACTGAGTAAACTAACTCTGTAACTATTTAAGAGAACATTTCCAGGGAAAATCAAAGACAATAGGGTTGACAAAAGTAAAAACACTGAAGAAAAGTGGAAATTTTAGCCATATAAACATAACTCCTCACCACTAAAGGAGTATTTACCTTGGTTCCTATTACTCCATGCAAATGGCTGGCATTCAACAAAAAATTATAAGACATACTAAGTCACAAGAGAAAACAGTCCGAAGAGACGAAACAAGCAAAAGGACAAGACAGAGACACGGCGGAGATTTTGGAATTACCAGACTGATAGTTTAAAATAGCTATGGTGAATAAGCTAAGGGCACTAATAGGTAAAACAAACAAACAAAGTAGACAAATTAAATTTAGCAGAGTTTAACTGAGCCAAAAACAATTCATAGATTGGACAGCACTCAGTACAAAAAGACGTTCAGAGAGCTCAGCTTCATGGTGTGGGCATGCAATATTTGAAGTCAGAAAACAGAATAACAGAAGTAAGTTACAGAAAAAGTTTGAATTGTTCATAGCTCCGAGTTTGCTTTATTTGGCATAGTCTGAGCAGTTGGCAGCCTATGATTATATAAAGCTTGACTGCCATGATTGGTTGAGACCCAGACACTTGTTACAAGAATATACTCTTAAGATACATTGAAGCTTGTTTACATACTGAGCTTACAGTTTGGTACATAAGAATTCAAAGTATGGAGGCAGCTTTAGGCCAAATTTAACTACCTTTGACATGAGACAAATGAAAACCATAAAATAACAAATGGGTAAGGCAAGCAGAAATGGAAACTCTACAAAAGAATCAAAAGAAAATGCTAGAAATCAAAAAGACTGTAAAGAAATTGAAGAATGCATTGCATATGCTTTCCAATAGATTAGACAGAACAGAGGAAAGAATCAGTGAGTTTGAAGATGTATTACAAGCTGTTCAAATAAGGAATATATGGCCTCCAAAATCTAAAGATGCCCACTAGGCATTGCACTTTTTTTTTGGATGTAAGATAGGCCAGATGCAACATATTGTTCTTCATCTTAGAAAGAATAACTGGACATGCCTCAATCCACTGAATTCCTAGATATTTCCCTCAGGGAGAAGGTCCCTAAACTTTTTCTGGAATCATTTCTCACCCTCTGAAATACGAATTTCTTATGTCTTACCAATAATTTCAAATTTCAATTCAATTTCAAATGTCTTACCAATAATTCTAGTATAGTTGTAACTTCTTGTTCACTAGGTCTAACCAGCATGAAGCCATCAATGTAACAGACCAGTGTGATATCTTATGGGGAAAAAAGGCAATCGACATCCTTATGAACTAACTTGATGGCACTGGGCTGGAGAGATGATATACCTCACAGTGAAGGCATTTTTCTGGTCATGTCAGTTGAAAGCAACATCCTTATGATGGTTCTTATTGACAGGAATGGAAAAAAAGGCATTTGTCATATCAGTAGCTGCATACCAGATACAAGATGATCTATTAATTTACTGAAACAGTGAAGCTACATCTTATACAGCAGGTTTAACTGAAATAAACACCTGGTTACATTTATGTTAATACACTGTCATTCTGTCTTTCTTGCACAGTTCAAATAAGGGCGGTGAATGGGGATGTGGTAAGAATTATCAACTCAACATCTTTTAAATTATTGATGGTGGCACAAATCCCTATCATCCCTTCAGGGATGAGTGATTGTTTCTGCTATTTTCCTAGGTGGAAGGAGTTCTAGTAGTTTCGCTTGCCCTTTCCTACCCAAACAACCCTCACTCCCTAGGTCAGAGAACCAATGTGAGAACTCTGCCAGCTATTGTGTATATCTATTCCTACCATATTTTCAAGACTGGGAAAATAAACTTGCACATGCACTTTTTAAAATAAAATTTTAAAAAGACCGGGGAAATAACCATAGGATGGCTTCCAGAACACAGAAGGCCCAATTTGAGATGGACCTGAGCTAAAACTAAATTGACCACTTGCTCTTCATAAGCCCCTACTCTGAATTGTGGACCACAGTGACATTTTGGGTCTCCTGAGATCAGTTCCAGTTCAGAGCCAGTATCTGGTAGTCTCTGAAAGATCTGATCATTTTCTTTTATACAATGCACAGTTACCCTGATAAAAGACCAAATGTCCTGTTGAAGAAGGCTGGGAGAAAGATTAACGGTATAAATTTTGGAGAGTATACTGAGTTCCTTTCTAATGAAGACAACACCTCTCCTTTATTCAAGGTATTTTGTTTCAGTAAACTGCCTCAAGTGTAGAAATCAATTGACTGGTCATGATTCTCTGTTTAAAATTCAGGTTAGACTTTTTTTCCTTTCACCCAGATCTTTTCTGCTTACACCGATAGAGTAAGAATTTAGTAGGCTTTCTAACTACTTCACTTTCAGGAACACCATGAGCAGCTAGCCTATGTCACAAACCTGTGTGACACAGACTATTCTGACTGATATTTTTGGTCTGCTGACCATTACAGTAATTTTTTCCACTTGGACTTTGGAAGTTGTGTGCCTTCACTTGGCCCATGTCACTCCAAGATCTAATTAATCCCTTTGATTTTAGGTTTTCTAATTCAGTGACTGCAGTTTCCAAAGTAAGTTCTGGCCTACAGAGGAAAATAATCATAGAGCCCTTCAAAGATGTCATGGCTACTCTCACGAATTCATTTTGCACAGCCATGTTGAAAAGGATATCTTATTTACACTTCCTGTGTGGTTGTGTATGTACCAAATGTCGAGTCCAACCTAACATTCCAATTTTCTTAAGGCTTTGAATCTCTTCATCTGCACTAAATCAAGGTGAGCTCAGTATCTTCAACTTGGTTACTCTATGCCATCTTTTGGTCTACATTTCAACCAATCAACCGAACAAATTATTACATCCTGTTTAACTCCATGAGCTGCAACATTAAATGCAGAACCCCTACTGAGAGAGCAAATATCGATGAATTTAGCGTGGTTCAATTTCATGTTTCTTCTATCATCATCCCAAATGATTATGAAATTACTATTTCACAGAGTTAGTATCCTCTCCTACACATATTGCTTGAGGTTCTGATTTTTATACATTAGAAAACTCAAATAGTTATTTGCAGTGTAGTGTATCTTCTCATGGGTTACAATTTACATCACCCTTAGGGATCTGCTAAGAAGTGGGTCTAGTTATACACTTAGAAGAAAATGGGGATGTTGGAGTTGCATCTTGAGGATATTCAGCATTGTATTGCAAAGCCACTTTCTCAGGTGAGGCCACTGCAGTTTCCTTAGTCATTGTAGGTTAATTACCTCAGAGAGCAGTAGAGTATTTGTACCCATTAGGGATCTACAGGAAGCAAGCTAGTGACCCTGAGCAGCCAATGTACACTTCCAATATAAGTCTGAAGGCTAGCAGGCGAAAAACCCAAGAGGAAGCAGTGTTTAACTCCAAGACCAAAGGTGAATAAAACAAACAAACAAACAAAAAACAAATAATATCCAAGCGCAACAATCATGCAAGAGAAATTCTATCTTGCTCAGTATCTGTGTTTTTATAGGTCTTCTGTTGATTTGGTGAGGGCTACCCTCACTGAATTCAGTGAGATTGCCCTTAATAAGGAAGGGTAATCTGTTTTACTTTTACCAATGTAAAAGGGCAATCTGTTGTACTTTTAACGGTGTTGTAAATGTTAATCTCATCCAGGAACACCCTCACAGAAACACCAAAAATAATGCTTGAGCAAATGTCTGGGCACCCCATGGCCCAGCCAAGTTGACAAATAAAGATAACTATCACATATGGAAATCCAAAAGACTCAAAATAGCCAACATGACAATAAAGAAATTGAACGAAGTCATAGGACTGACACTCCCCGACTTCAAGACTTATGTAGAACTCGTGCAATAAAGGCAGAATGCTATTGATTAGCGAAAACATAAACAGCCAGTGAAACAGAGCCCAGAAGCATAACCACACAGTTATAGTCAACTTATCTTTCACTGGGGAGCAAAAGCAAATCATGGAAGAAAGGATAGCCTTTTCTACAAATAGTGCTGGTAAAACTGGACCATTTCTAGCCAAAAATTGAACCTACACACTGACCTTACAAATTTCACAAAAATTAACTCTAATGGATCATAGACTTAATATAAAACAAAATACTGTAAAACTTCTAGAAGGCAGCACAGTAGGAAACCTAAAGTTTGACAATAAGTTTAGATACAACACCGAAAGCAAAATCTATTAAAGAAAATATCAATAAGTTGACTTCATGAAAATTGTAAGTGAACCTGCCACTCAGAGAATGAACAGACAAGACACAGACTGGAAGAAAACATTTGCTAAACATATATGTGATAAAGAACTTGTATCTAAAATATACAAAAACATGTAAAACACAACAATAAGAAGACAAACAATTTTGCCAGGTAAAAATTAAGC
Organism: Homo sapiens; assembly: GCF_000001405.40. NCBI lineage: Eukaryota > Metazoa > Chordata > Mammalia > Primates > Hominidae > Homo > Homo sapiens. The sequence continues at coordinate 87,300,897 of NC_000013.11, forward strand.
AAAAGATCTGCACCAAAGAAGATACATAGGTAGCAAGTTAGCACAAAATGCACAAGATCAAAGGGAATTTCATATTAAAATAATAGGGAGATATGATTACATACCTATATGCTGGTCAGGATGCAGAGCAACAGGAGATCTCATCTCTTTCTTGTGAGAGTGCAAAATGGTAGCATCACACTGGAAAAAAATGTCAGTATATTACAAAGCTTAACATAGTCTTACTATACAATACAGAATTCACACTTCTAGGTAGTTACCAAAATGAAAATTTATGTTCACACAAAAGCCTACACACAAATATTTATAAAAGCTTTATACATAATTGCTTAAAAATTTTGAATTATTCAACGTTTTCTTCAATTGGGAAATGGATGAATAAACTGTGGTAAATCCACAATAGAATATTTTTCAAACATAAAAATAAATTAGCTATCAAGCCACCAAGAGACATGGAGGAACCTTTCATGTATATTGCTTTGTGAAAGGAGTCAGTCTCAAGAAGCTATATATTGTATGATTCCAACTATAGGGCATTCTAGAAAAGGTAAAACACACACACTGTATAAAGATAGTTGTTTCCAGGGGTGGGGGGAGGGGGGAGGGATAGCATTAGGAGATATACCTAATGCTAAATGACCAGTTAGTGGGTGCAGCACACCAGCATGGCACATGTATACATATGTAACTAACCTGCACATTGTGCACATGTACCCTAAAACTTAAAGTATAATAATAATAAGAAAAAAAAAAGATAGTTGTTTCCATGGGTGGGTGGGGGAAATAATGGCTGGGAGGAACACAGTGATTTTTAGGGCAATGGAACTTCTCTGTATAATACTGTAATGGTGGATACATGTCATTTTATATTTGCCAAAGCCCAAAGTGTACAATACGGAGTGAACTTGAATGTTACATATGGACTTTAGTTAATAATAATGTATAAATGTTGGTTCTTCAGTTGTAATAAATGAACCAAATTAATGCCAGCTGTTAATAAGAAAACTGAATGTGGGAGACAGCAGGTATGTGGAAACTATCTGTTCTCTCTACCTAATTTTCTCTAAACTTAAAGGTGCTCTTAAAAAAAAGTTATTTTTGTCTGGGCACAGTGGCTCAATCCTATAATCACAGCACTTTTGGAGGCCAAGTCAAGAGAATCACTTGAGCTCAGGAGTATGAAACCAGGCTAGAATCATACAATCATACAGGCTAGAAAACAAAGGGGGAACCCTGTCTCTACAAAAAAATTTAAAAAGAAAAAAAGTAGCTGGTTTTGGTGGCATGCACCTGTGGCCCCAGATACCCAGGAGGCTGAGGTGGGAGAATCGCCTGAGCCTGGTTTGTCGAGGCTGCAGTGAGCAGTGATTGTGTCACTGCACTTCAGCACGGATGACAGAGCAAGCCCCTGTCTCAAAATAAATAAAATAGTATTTTAAAAGTTATTTTTAATTTAAAAAGGAATTCAGATAGTTAATTTTCCTGTCAAAATAGAAGTACTATTATAAAAGTTCAAGAAAAAAGACTATCTTAAGAAAATAGTAGCCAAAAATGTACATTCACATACAAAAGGAACACAAACAGATATTTATAACAAATTTGATGTTTCTTATGGGTCCAGATTGGAATAAAAGTAAACAAAAAATATATTTATGTCATGGTTGAATGTTCTTCAATTATGAATCAAAAAGTTTTAGTGCTTACACCCTAGATTGCATTTGAATCAAACTTCTCCCATGTTATAATGGATGTTTTTAAAAAACATTGGATTTAAAAAACTTGTTTTGTACATATTTTGTAAGCAACGTATTAACGGTACCTCTGGAAATGTCAGGTACATGAGAATAAATATTCAAAAATTTGATTGTAAATTCTTAAAGATTCTGTGATAATTGAGAAACCAGTCATTTCTAGGTAAATCTTTTGAAGAAATAATATTTCCTTCAACATGAGCAATTTCTTAGAGATGAATATACCTGGGAAACCTAGCTGATATAATTAGCAGATAGTTGATGTTAAAATAATTAAATAAAGGTAATTTGCCTTATTTCTGAACAAAAGCTGCCATCCCTGTTAAGTCTATTAGTTGGTGGAATAATTTGTTTTATCACTGTTTCTGTTCATGCTGAAAATCAGTTACTCTCATAATGGAATGCCCTGGTTGAACCTGATGTACGCAGAATGTAACACCTAGTGCTATGGATGCACTTTAAACTGATATGTTGTCACTTCAAATTACTTTGCATTGGCATCTGTGGTTATTTAGAATTACAAGTTAATTTGGATGACTTCCAGAACAAATAAACAAGTGCAAAACTGTCTCAATGCATTTATTGTGCTTGAATGATTGAAGGGCTTTTTGTGAGTGTGGCTTTAATGTTCCAGAATAATTTTATCTAATAGCAGGAGGTGGCTAGACTTCCAAACAAAATGTTCTTTTATTATAAATTATGTGAAATCTACATGAAAAGGATATTTAGTTTTAATTACAATAATAATAAATAGCAAATGAATAAAGCATCTTATAAAATATCTGTGCCTAACATGGCAATAATACCCATTACAGTAAAACATAAATGGCAATATTTATAGAAAAACTTAAAATAATTAATGAAAAAATGAAGCATTTTGAACTGCTGGAAATAAAGTAATCATAGTTGAATGAACAGGAAACTAGAGCTATTCAAAAATAATGAACAACAACAAAAAAGTAATTCTAAAACAATAATTTTATTTTGGAAGCTAAACAATGATGTTCCCTCTGAGAACTTACAAATTCATTGCCATCTAAGAAACCACAGAAAAATGAATATATATCTATTATGTCTATGGCTATATGCAGTTCCTGATTTTCCTACTATTAATAGAGCAGTCATTCTTACTTATATATCTCTGTCTTACAGTAATTCCTGCAGCCATGTAACATGGTGTTAACTTGCTCCTGGGGCACTTCTTAATCTGCATGTTCACTTAGAAAAATCTCACCAAATCTTATGCTTTAATCTACATGCGTACATTTATATCTCCTGCCCTGATCCCCCAGCTAACATAAAACCTCCTGGATTAAAATATTGTGATGGTTAATTCTACATGTCAACTTGACTAGGCTATGGTATCCAGTTTATTTGGTCAAACACCAGTCTAGATGCTGTAACAATGTTGGTAGTTTTGATAAACTTTTAAATAAACAGAATTTGAGTAAAGGATATTACTCTTCACCATGTGGACAGGTCTCTTCTAATCAGGTGAAAGCATTTGGGGCAAAAACAAATTTTCCAAAGAAACAATTCTGTCTGAAGACTGCAACATAGTGACTGCGCCTGAATTTCCAGCCTGCAGATTTCAAACTCAAGACTGTAACATCAACTCATTGAATCTCCATCCCACCAGCCTGTTCTACAGTTTTTGGACTTGCCAGTCCACACAATCATTCACAAGAGCCAATTTCTTTTCTTTTTTAATTTTAATTTTTATTTTTTGAGACCGAGTCTCGCTCTGTCACCCAAGCTGGAGTGCAGTGGTGTGATCTAGGCTCACTGCAAGCTCCGCCTCCCAGGTTCACGCCATTCTCCTGCCTCAGCCTCCTGAGTAGCTGGGACTACAGGTGCCCGCCACCATGCTTAGCTAATTTTTTGTATTTTTAATAGAGACAGGGTTTCACTGTGTTAGCCAGGATGGTCTTGATCTCCTGACCTCGTGATCCATCTGCCTCAGCCTCCCAAAGTGCTAGGATTACAAACGTGAGCCACCGGGCCCAGTCCCACAAGAGCCAATTTCTTAAACTCTCTCTCTCTCTGTCTCTCTGTCTCTGTCTCTCTCTCTCTCTCTCTCTCTCTCTGTGTGTGTGTGTGTGTGTGTGTGTGTGTGTGTGTATCTCCTATTGGCACAGTTTCTCTGGAGAACACTGACAAATACACATAACCATTAGGAATGTTAGAGATTTCATAACTGATGTTCAAAAATGAACTCTTCCTTTGGGTATATACCCAATAATGGGATTCCTGGGTCAAATGGTGATACAGTTTGGCTGTTTCCCCACCCAAAGCTCATCCTGAATTGTAGCTCCCATAATCTCCATGTGTCATGGGAGGTATCTGGAGGGAGGTAATTGAAAGATGAGGGTGGCTATTTCCTGTCTTCTTCTCATAATAGTGAATAAGTCTCATGAGATCTAATGGTTTTATAAAGGGGAGTTCCCCTGTATGCTTTCTTGCCTGCTGCCATGTCAGACATGACTTTGCTCCTCCTATGCCTTCCTCTATGATTGTAAAGCCTCTTCAGCCATGTGAAACTGTGAGTCAATTAAACCTTCTTCCTTTATAAATTACCCAGTCTCAGGTATGTCTTTATTAGTATCATGATAACAGATTAATACAAATGGTAATTCTGATTTATGTGCTTTGAGAAATTGTCAAACTGCTTTTCATAATGGCTGAAGTAACTTACATTCCCACCAGCAATGTACAAGTTTTCCTTTTTCTCCACAACTTCACCAGCATCTGTTATTTTGTGACTTTTTAATAATCACCACTCTGACTGGTGTGAGATGGTATCTCATTGTGGTTTTGATTTGCACATCTCTAATGACTAGTGATGTTAAGAATCTTTTATATGCTTATTCACTGTGTGTGTCTTCTTTTGAAAACTGTATTTTCACGTCTTTTCTCACTTTTTAATGGGGTCATTTATTTTTTGCTTGTAAATTTTTTTATTTCATATAGATGCTTGATATTAGACCTTTGTCAGATGCATAGTTTGCAAATATTTTCTCCCATTCTGTAGGTTGTCTGTAAAATCTGTTGATAATTTCTATTGCTATGTAAAATCTCTTTAGTTTAATTAGGCCCCACTTGTCAATTTTTGTGTTTGCTGAATTTGCTTTTGGCAACTTCATCATGAAATCTTTGCCAGGTCCTATATTCAGAATGGTATTTACTAGGTTACCTTAAAGGGTTTCTATAGTTTCAGGTTTTACATGTAAGTATGTAGTCTAACTTGATTTGATATTTGTATATGGTGTAAGAAAGGTTTCCTGTTTCAATCTTCTGCATATGGCTAGCCAATTATCCCCAAACCACTGATTGAATGGGGAGTCCTTCCCCCATTGGTTGTTTTTGTTGACTTTGTTGAAGATCAGATGCTTATAGGTGTGTGGCATTATTTCTGGGCTCTCTATTCTATTCCGTTGGTCTATGTGTCTGCTTTTGTACCAGTATCATGCTGTTTTGGTTACTGTAGTAGCCCTTTAGTTATAGTTTAAAGTTGGGTAGTGTGATGCCTCCAGCTTTGTTCTTTGTGCTTAGAATTGCCTTGGCTATTTGGGCTCTTTTTTAGTACCATATGAATTTTAAAATAGTTTTTTATAGTTTGATAGAAATGGCATTGAATCTGTAAATTGTTTTTCTTAGTATGGCCATTTTAACAATATTTATTCTTCCTATCCATGAGCATGGAATGGTTTTCATTTGTTAGCATCGTCTCTGATTTATTTGAGCAGTGTTTTGTATTTCTAGCTGTAGAGGCCTTTCACCTTTTTAGCTAGCCATCTTTTCTGGGTATTTTATTCTTTCTGTGTCTATTGTAAATGGGATTGCATTCTTGATTTGGCTCTGGAGCTCGGATGTCATTGGTGTGTAGAAATATTATGAATTTATGTACAATGATTTTGTATCTTGAGATTTTGCTGAAGTTGTGTATCAGACCAAGGACCTTTTGGGCTGAAACTGTGAGGTTTTCTTGGTATAGAATCATATTGTTGGGTCAAATGGTATTTCTAGTTCTAGATCCCTGAGGAATCGCCACACTGACTTCCACAATGGTTGAACTAGTTTACAGTCCCACCAACAGTGTAAAAGTGTTCCTATTTCTCCACATCCTCTCCAGCACCTATTGTTTCCTGACTTTTTAATGATCGCCATTCTAACTGGTGTGAGATGGTATCTCATTGTGGTTTTGATTTGCATTTCTCTGATGGCCAGTGATGATGAGCATTTTTTCATGTGTCTTTTGGCTGCGTAAATGGATCTAGGACGAGAAATACCATTTGACCCAGCAATCCCATTACTGGGTATATACCCAAAGGATTATAAATTATGCTGCTATAAAGACACATGTGCACACATGTTTATTGCGGCACTATTCACAATAGCAAAGACTTGGAACCAACCCAAATGTCCAACAATGATAGACTGGATTAAGAAAATGTGGCACATATACACCATGGAATACTATGCAGCCATAAAAAAATGATGAGTTCATGGCCTTTGTAGGGACATGGATGAAGCTGGAAACCATCATTCTCAGCAAACTATCACAAGGACAAAAAACCAAACACCGCATGTTCTCACTCATAGGTGGGAATTGAACAATGAGAACACATGGACACAGGAAGGGGAACATCACACACCGGGGCCTGTTGTGGGGTGGGAGGAGTTGGGAGGGATAGCATTAGGAGGTATACCTAATTCTAAATGACCAGTTAATGGGTGCAGCACACCAACATGGCACATGTATACATATGTAACCAACCTGCACATTGTGCACATGTACCCTAAACCTTAAAGTATAATAAAAAAATGACAAATTAGAAATTTTAATATACTTTATTATTTTAACAGCATACCATTAGAAAACCATTTTTTTCTACTATATCTGGATGGCCCTAATAAATTATTCTAGGCAAAAATTAGACCAAAGAAAAAGAATCATATTGTTACCAGGCACAATGGCTCACGCCTGTAATCCCAGCGCTTTGGGAAGCTGAGGCAGGTGGATCACGAGGTCAGGAGTTCAAGACCAGCCTGGCCAACATGGTGAAACCCCATCTCTACTAAAAATACAAAAATTGGCTGGGCATGGTGGCGCTTGCCTGTAATCCCAGCTACTTGAGAGGCTGAGGCAGAAGAATTGCTTGAACCGGGACCCTGGAGGCAGAGGTAGGAGTGAGCCAAGATCATACCACTGCACTCCAGCCTGGGCTACAGGGCGAGACTCTGTCTCAGAAAAAAAAAAAAAAAAAAAGAATCATATTGTTTGCATACAGGGAGGGTTTTACTTCCTCTCTTCCTATTCTGATGTCTTTTATTTTTTTTCTCTTGCCTGACTCTTCTGGCTAGGACTTCTAGTACTACGTTGAATAGGAGTAGTGAGAGAAGATATTCTCATGCTACCATAAAAACACAGGCATTTGTGTGTTCATCACCACATTATTAACAATAGCAAATAAATGGAATCATCTTAAATTCCCACCAACGGTAGACTGGCTAAATAAAGATGTGGTTCACAAACACTATGGAATACTATGTAGTCATAATAAAACAATATTATGTATTTTACAGCAATATGGATGGTATCAGAAGTCGTTATCGTAAGCAAACTAGCACAGAAGCAAAAATCCAAACATGGAATGGTCTCACTTATAAGTGGGAGCTAGACGTTGAGTACATATGGACGCAAAGATGGGAACAATGAATGCTGGGGCCTAATTGATGGTGGAAGTTGGCAGTAGAGAGAGGTTCATAAACTATATATAAAGTACTATACTTACTATCTTGGTGACAAAATAATCTGTATACCAAACTCCCATGAGACACAATTTACCTATATAACATACCTGCACATGTACTCCTGAAACTAAAATAAAATTAAACAAAGAAGAAAACTAAAATCTTATTTTTTTCCCATTAACTTAATGCTTCCAGAGAACAATATAATAATTCTCAATGTAACTTCACTACACTAGATACTATGGGGTGTTTATATTATCTGAAATCTATACATGGCATTGCAATCTCTATCTACCAAACTATCTGATGTATTACCCAGTGAACTTGGAGGAGGACTTGATGTATCCTGTTTGCCATCTGGTGTCGTCATAGTTGAGTCAAAAGTAAGGTATTTATTATCATGCTTTATTATTTCAAAACTATCTCCATTATCTTGTCTATTCCAATCTCAGAGGTCTCCTAGTCTAGGAATAGTAGTCTGTAGGCAAGGAGGGTGGGTGTGGGGTAATAATGGATACTCTTGAACTGGCTACATAGGATTAAAGTTTTCCAGCTTTCTTTTAATGCATTTAAAATACAGTTGCTAGAATTAAAAGCAAAATATTTAAGTGCCTCAAGTTATAGGCTCGCCACACATGAGCATTATCACTATCATCCCAAGATACATCTTTTATTGTTATTGTGGAGCTGATTTATTTCCAAGCCTGGAACATGCACCCAACTTTACCTGGGATCTACTCACATAAAACATTTATGTTATAGTGAACTTATTTATGTGATTTTATATAAATAGATTTGTATAGACCCTAGTCTCAAAAAAATAAATAACAAATACAAGTTTCAAAATATTTGTATGCTAGTGAGTTACAATTCTGGCCAAAATAACAAAACAAAGCGTATCAAAGCAAATTTCAAATATAAAAAGAATACCATAAATGTCGCTACCTGAATTAACATAATGGTATACCCAAATCTATTAGAAATTATTATATTTGAAATTTAAATATCATCTCATTCTAGTATATATATTATATATACTATACAACATGTAGTATGTATATAGTATTTATATATCATGTACTATATATAGTACTTTTATATATACTCATAATTAAATGGTGTGTGTGTGTGTTTGTGTAACACACAATAAATTTTTTTTTAATAAAAGAAACTGGCCAGGCGCAATGGCTCATGCCTGTAATCCCAGCACTTTGAGAGGCCGAGATGGATGGATCACGAGGTCGGGAGTTTGAAACTAGACTGGTCAAGATGGTGAAACCCTGTCTCTACTAAAAATACAAAAATCAGCTGGGTGTGGTGGAGGGATGCCTGTAATCCCACCTACTTGGGAGGCTGAGGCAGGAGAATCACTTGAACCTGGGAGAATCACTTGAACCTGGGAGGCAGAGGTTGCAGTGAGCCGAGATTGTGTCACTGCACTTTAGCCTGGGCAACAAAACAAGACTCCGTCTCAAAAAAAAAAAAAAAAGAAAGAAAAAAAAAAAAGAAACTAAAACTTGTTTTCTCTCTCAACTGAATGATTCCAGGGAACAGCATAATAATTTTCAATGTAATTTTACTACACTAGATACTAGAGGGTGTTTATATTATCTGAAATCTATACATGGCATTGTAATCTCCATCTACTAAACTATCTGACGTATTACCCAGCGAACATGAGGAGGACTTGGTGTGTGTGTGTGTGTGTAACACACAATAAAATCTGTAAACATTAAAATGGTTAATTTTATGTGCCTACTTGACTGGGCCATAGAATGCCCAGAAATTTGGTCCAACATTATTCCGAGTGTAACTGTGAGGTTATTTTGATGAGATTAACATTTAAATCTGTAGACTGAGTAAAGCAGATTTTCTTCCCTCGTGTGTGTGGCCCTCGTCCAAACAGTTGAAAACTTGAATAGAACAAAAAGGCTAAATATCCCAAGAGTAGTAGAGAATTACTTCTGACTGCTTTACAGTTGGAACATCATTTTTTCCCTCCCTTTGGACTGTAACTGAAACATCAGCTTATCTGGGTCTACAGATTGCCACTACAGATCTTAGGATTTGTCACCTTGCCATCACCCATAATCATGTAAGCCAATGTCTTATAATATTTCTCTCACTTTCTATCTATATAGATACTTCTATGAGGCATTTGCTATGCAAGACAATGCTGATTGCCTTCAGTGCTCACTCTCAAGAAGCAAATCCCTCTTTGTTTCTAGACCTATAATCAGGCTCAAATCTCAGCAGACTCCTAGAGGGGAGATGTCAAGTGTGATTCATGGCAAGGTGCACTACAATCCCAAAGAACTATTTGAGTTTCTAATGTTTACAGGTAGAAATATGGGAGACATGTGTAAGAATGAATATTAATGATGTAGGATGTTGGTGGAAGGAACATAAACTGGATCAGGCTGAATGTATTAACCTGGACTCACAAGGCAGATAATCTGAATTTAGTGTTGCAACTCATAGACTTGGAAAGAACTCTAATAGATTGTTTGGCTCATTGTATAAAACTATGACCAAAAAATGGCATACAACGAGTAAGCTGGAAATGCCACATCTGCTTTGGTTCAATGCATAGGAAGGGAGTCAAAGACTTAGAGAGATTGGAATATTAGAGTGAATTTATTATTTAAGACCTACTCAACCACTCTGGAAGGGTCCAAAATACATGCCTTTTTCCAAAACTTTGAGAAAGTTGTGATTGGGAACTCAGGATTCTTGAAGCGCTCTCTGATGGGTCTTTCCTGTAGGCCATATCATACAGTGGAAACTGCAGTTACTGAACTGGGAAAACCAAACTCAAAGGGGTTAATTTAATCCTGGGGAACAGGGGCCAAGTGGTGGCAATTAAGCACTAAAAGCAAGATGGGTGTGGTTACTGCAGTGGTCTCCAGTGCCAAAGCAGAAAACAGATTAGTCTGACTCATGTATAACTATGGTGTTGACTAGTTGATCATGCTACTCCTAGAAGTGAAAGATGTCCCAGACGTGATAGTGAAAGTAAAAGGAAGCATACTAAACTAGTACTTGATCTGTATAAGCAGAAAGTTCTAGGTCAAGTGAACAAAATACTAGTATGAAACATAAAAACAGACAGTAATTGTCCCTCAATCAATTTCCATGGCTAATGCAGTTTACATACCGAGACCCTTTCTTCTTGTGCAAGGACCCCGTATATTGCCAAAAGTTTACACTGTTATTTTTCCCCTAGCCTTCTCCAAAGAGATATATGGCTTTAACCTGGGTGAGTGTGCATGAAACAAACAAACAAAAAAGAAATAATCAGACTTTTCAGGGACTACTAGAAATTCTCTTTGAGCTGACTCAAATTTGAGGAGACATCTATGTCAGTGTGGCCCATCAGTAAGAGTACAGGCTTACAAAATTCAGGTGATCAGTGGAGCTTTAGCTCAAGTCCATCTCAAGCTGGGCCTAGTGTGTCTTCAATCCCATTTGGTTGTTATTTTCTCAGTTCTAAAGTGCATAATAGGAATAAATATACTCAGCAGATGGCAGAATCATCACATGATTCCTTGACCTGTGTTGTCAGGGCTATTATGGAGAAAAAGGCCAAGAAGGAGCTGCTAGAACTGCCTCTACCTATAAAATAGTAAACCGAAAGCAATCATGATCACCTGGAGAGATCTCAGAGTTCATTGCCCCTGTTTAGGACTTCAAAAATGCAAAGGTGTTAATTCCCATGACATCTCCATTCAACTAATTTATTTGGCTTGTGCAGAAGACAGCGGGATCTTGAAGAATGATAGTGGATTATTATAAATTTAACCAGGTGGTTATTCCAATGGAAGCTGCTGTACCAGATGTGGTTTCACTGCTTTAGCAAATTAGCACATCCCTTGGTACCTGATATGCAGCTATTGATCTAGCAAATGCTCTTTTCTCCTTCCCTGTCAATAAGACCATCATAAGTAGTTTGATTTCAGCTTGCATGGCCAGCAATAAACCTTCCCTCTTCTATCTCAGGGGCATATCAACTCTCCATTTCTTTGTTATTATTTTGTTCCCTGGAATCTTCCTCATCTTTTCCTATCACAAGATATCACACTGGTCCATACACTCATGATATTATGCTAATTAGACCTAGTGAGCAAAAAGTAGCAATTACTGTAGACTCATTGATAAGACATTTTCTGTCAGAGGATAGAAAAGATATGTGACAAAATTTCTTCCACAGTGAAACTTCTAGGAGGTCAGTGGTATGAGGTGTGTAAAGATATCCCTTCTAAGTTGAAAGGCTATTTATTGCACCCATCCTCTCCCACAACAACAACAGAAAAAGGGCACAATGCCTAGTGGAAGTCTTTGGATTTTTGGAGGCAACATATTTCTCATTTGGGTGTGTTATTCTGGCACATTTACTGAATGACCCAAAGTGCTTCTAGTTTTAAGAGTATCCCAGAAAACAAAGAGGCTCTACAAAAGGTCTAGGATGCTGTGCAAGCTCCTATGACACTTGGGCCATATAATCTAACAGATCCAATGATGCTTAAAGAGTCAGTGGCAGATAGGGGATGTATTAGTACATTCTCACACTGCTATAAAGACATACCCAAGACTGGGTAATTTACAAAGGAAAGAGGTTTAATTGACTTGCAGTTCTGCATGGCTGAAGAGGCCTCAGGAAATTTACAATCACGGCAGAAGATGGGACAGAAGCAAAGGCACATCTTACATGGTGGCAGGTGAGAGAGTGCAAATGAATGAAGGGAGAAGAGCCCCTTATAAAATCATCAGATCTTGAGACAAATCTCTATCCCTAACTGGAGAAAAGCATGAAGGTAGCCATCTCCATGATCCAATCACTTACCACAAGGTCCTGCCCTCAGCATGTATGGATTATTGAGATTACAATTTGAGATGAGAGTTGGGTGGAGATACAGAGCCAAACCATATCAAGGTTGTTGTTTGGAGCCTGTGGCACTCTCCTATAAATGAATTGTAGTGCAGGCCCTTAGAAATTCTGAGCAATGTTCTGCAATACTCTGTGAATAACTACACGCCTTTTAAGAAACAACTCTTATGATATAGTTAGAATATTTGTCCCCACCCAAATCTCATGTTGAACTGTAATGCTCAGTGCTGAAGGTGGGGTATGGTGTGAGGGGTTTGTGTCGTGGGGGGCTGATCCATCATGACTTGTTGCTGTCTTTGGAATAGTGAGGTTTCATGAGATTTGGTCATTGAAAAGTGTGTGGCATCCCCCACCTCATTTGCTCTTGCTTCCATTCTCATCATGACTTGTGCCTGCTTCCCCTTTGCCTTCTGCAATAATTGGAAGCTTCCTGAGGCCTCTCCAGAAGCACATGTCACTGTGCTTCCTGTACAGCCTGTAGAACCTTGAATCAATAAAATATCTTTTCTTTATAAATGACTCAGTCTCAGGTATTTCTTTATAGCAATGCAAGAAGGGCCTAGTGCAGGCTGCTACTGGGCCTTAGTAAAAACTAAATGATTAATGATTTGCCAGCAATTTACCATGCAACCTAAATTACCCATCATGAGCTGGTGTTATCTGATCTAATAAGCCATAAAGTTTGGTGTGCATAGCAGCACTCCATTACCAAATGGAGGTGGTATTTATGTGACTAGGCCCAAGTAGGCCAGGAAGGAATGATTAAGTTACATTAAAAGTGCCCCAAATGCCAGTAGTCATTGCTTCTTTTTATGGTCTTATCCACCATTATGATAATTTAAATAGCATTGTTCCTTATATGAAGAACTTACATTACAACAGATAAAATATGACAATGGACGTACACTCATGGAATTCATTGGTCTTACCATATTCCCCACCATCCTGAAGCAGCTGGCTTGATAAAAGAGTGGAATGTCCTTTTGAAGTCTCAGCTACCATTGCAGCTAGGTGGTAATAGTTTACAGGATGGAGATGAGATTTTCCAGAAAGCTGGGCTTTTCATAAACAGCATCCAATGTATGGTGATATTTTCCCCATTCCAAGGATTCTCAGACCCATGAATCAAGGAGTAATCCAATAGCAAAACTGTTGCTTTCTGTAGACAGAACCTTATTCTCTGCTGGCCTAGAGGTCTTAGCTCCAAGAGGAGCAATGTTTTCACCAGGAGACACAGTTATTCCATTGAAATGAAAGTTCAGACTGTCACCTAGCCACTTGTGGCTCCTCATGCCTCTGAATCAACAAAGATGGGAGTTACTGTGCTGGCCATTGTTATTGATCCTTACCATCTAGTGGAAAATAGACAACTGCTCCACAATGGAGGTAAGAAAGAATACATATGAAATACAGAGCCTCCCTTTGGGCTTGCCCTGTAGTTAAGGTCAATGGAAAAACTACATAACCCAATTCAGGCAGAAGTACTAATGGTCCAGGCCCTTTATCAATGAAGATTTTGGTTGCCCCATTAGGTAAAGAACCATTACCAGCTCAGCTGCTTGCTGTTGGGAAAGGAAATACAAAATTGGAAGTGGCAGAAGTTAGTTATAAGCACAAGTCTGACTATATGACCAGTTATCAAAATGAGGACTATAATGACTTCTTTTGTTATGAATGTTTGTGTGTAGCAAATATATATTTTTCTCTTTTGTTCCCTCATCATGCAACATAAGATGTACTGACGTCATTTAATGATATTTAACTTACAGTATATCATGGAAAGGAGTAAATATCTGCAAAAAATTGTGCCTCCTTTTTTGGAAAAGGGAACAGTATGTTTTCAGTTTTAGTCACAGTTTAGGCAGAATTATGACCTTGTACTGTTTCATTTGAAGATCTGGTGTGGTTAAAGGAAATACATATGGGTGCCAGGTCAATAAGGGGTAAACTCGTGATTGTTAATTTTATATGTCAACTCGATTAGAACACAAGAGTGTCCAGATATTTGATTGAACATCATTAATGCTGTTTCTGTGAAGATATTTTTGGATGAGATTAACATTTAAATTGGTAGTGTCAGAAAAGTAGATTGCTGACCTTCTTCCGAATACAAGAGAATTTCTTATGCCTGACTTATTTTGTGCTATGTCATTGATAAGTTTTCCTGCTTTGGAACTTAAACTGAAACATTGGCTCTTTCTGGGTATGTAAACAATAGCCTTCAAACTAGACCTAAAATGTCAGCTCACCTGTGTCTCTCGCTTGCTGACTACCTATCTTGAGACTCATTATACTCCATAGCCATTTCCTCATAATAGATTTTATTTTATAGGTAAATATACATTATAGTCTTGCACTGCCTAATGACATTTTGGTCAACAGCCGACTTTGTATATGATGATCCCATAAGATTATAATAGAGATGAACATTTTTTATCAGCTAGTGATATTGTGGGCATTGTAACTTTGTACCACAACACATTACTCACATGTTTGTGGTGTTGCAGGTGTAAACAGACCTACTGCACTGACAGTCATATGAAAGTATAGCACGTATAATTATGTACAGTACATAACACTTCTTAATGATATTAAATGACTGTTACTGGCTTATGTATTTATAACACTATACTTTTAACTTTTATTTTAGAGTGTATTCCTTCTACTTATATTTTTAAAAAAGTAAACTGAAGCTCAGGCAGATCCTTCAGGAGGTATTCCAGAAAAAGGTATTGTTATAGGAGATGACAGCTCCATGTTTGATATTGCCCCTGAAGACCTCCTGGTGGGACAAGATGTGGAGGTGGAAGACAGTGATATTGATGATCCTGACCCTGTGTAGGATTAGGTTAATGTGTGTATTTATGCCTTAGTTTTTCACAAAAATTTTAAAACTAAAAAGTAAATTAAAATTGGAAAGAAGCTTAAAGAGTAAAAATAGAAATACAGTTTTTGTTCAGCGGTAAAATGTATTTGTTTTTAAGCTAAAGTTCACTACACAAGAGTCAAAAATTTGGAAACAGTTGATAATGCAAAAAAAAGCTATTGTAAGGTCAAGTTAACTTATTATTGAAGAAAAAATTATATATATATATATATAGGTATACATTTAGTTTATACTAGGTGTACGCTATTTGTCAAGTTTGTAATAATGTACAGTAATGTCCTAGGCCTTCTCATTCACTCACTATTTATTCACATACTCAGCCAGAAAAACTTCCAGTCCTAAAAGTGCCATTCATGGTAAGTGCCTTATACAGGTATACCATTTTTAAATATTTCTATTATATTTTTACTGTATGTTTCTATGTTCAGATATATGTAGATACACACATACTTACCACTGTGTTACAATTGCCTACAGTATTCAGTATAGTCACATGCTGTAAAGGTTTGTAGCCTAGGAGCAGTAGACTATACCATATAGCCTAGGTGTGTAGTAGGCTGTGACATCTAAATTCATGTAAGTACATTCCACGATGTTCACACAATGTGGAAATTGCCTAATGATGCATTTCTCAGAATGTGTCCTATCCCCTTTGTTAAGTGATGCGTGACTTTATCTATCTACCTATTTACCTCTGTATCTATACAAAGTAAGCAAGACTATTTTAAAACGTGTAAGCAGATTCCCAAAACATGAGCTCAAAATTTATTACTGGTCACTGATTTTGAAGAACATTATCTCACATTAAAAAAGATTAACTTCTTATAAAAACAGAACAGTAATTGTACTTGCAGGAAAACATTATTTAAAAGACTGCGAGAAGTCACTGAATGGATTATTGATTTTCCTGTGAGAGATAAACAGTGCTTCTGGTTAGAGTGCTTTTTCTTATGCTAACACCTGACTGATGGGTGGATTCTAGATATATCCTCTGTAAAACAATATGATGTATCTACTTTAGCTAAAGCCATGCCAGATGGGATATCAGATTCTGGGAAAAATTACTTGTAAAATTGTGTTGGCATGTGGGCAAATGCAAGCAAACTGACTAGAGAAAAGAGTAGTCATGCAATGGCATTAAAGTTTGTAAGTTAAAATATTAATCAGCTATTCTAAGTAAAATGATATTATATAAAACATTGATTGGAATAAATGTTTTCCATGGTTCCATTCCTGTTTGGAAGAAGAGTAATGATAATGATTATTATTATTATTTTTTATTGATTGATAATGAATTTATTTATTTTTTTCTTTTATTATTTTTAGATATAGACAAGTTAAGCATAAGTCTTACAAATTTTAGGAGTATTACCACAATTTTAGAAAATTAGGGTGTTACTAAAAAGGGAAGAATGTTTTGAAAATGCAAATTTATAAGAAATTGGCAAGAAATCTTAGAAAATTAATAAGATTCTGTATATATCAGAAGCACAAAAATGAGTACAATAAATTAAAAATATCAGTAATACATTAAATATGAATGAAAAGTTTGCAAAAAATCCTCCTTACATAATAAAATTAGTGAATAATATAAAAGAAAATCTTTGAAAACATATAGGTTTTGATTTTCACACATCCAACTGTTTTCTATAGTTTAATTCACTAAGCATTCTTCATATCTCCTATTTACACAGCTGATGCTGACACAAGGCAGTTAATTTTGAAAAAAACTTAGTTAATTTTACTATCATTCTCTTAGGAAAAAAGTGCAATAGGTTTATAACAAATTCAAACATATTATAACTGTTGTAAATAACTTTATTCTTTTTCTTTAAACTGATTCATAAACTTTAGATGTTAAATATATATGAAATAAAAGTAGTATCGTGTTAAATATGTGTAGATTGAATTTATAAATGAAAGTTTTCTCCTCATTAAAAGATGCAAAGGGAACAATTTTTTTCTTTGTGCTCATGAAAGATATGAGAGTTGACATTGAATTGTAGATACATCATATTATTTTACAGAGGATATATCTAGAATCCACCCATCAGTCAGGTGTTAGCATAAGAAAAAGCACTCTAACAAGAAGCGTTGTTTTTCTCTCACAGGAAAATCAAGAATCTATTCAGTGACTTCTTACAGGCTTTTAAAGAAAATTTTCTGGCAAGTACAATTACCATTCTGTTTTTATAATAATTTAATCTTTTTATGTAAGATAATGTTATTCAAAATCAATGACCAGTAATAAATGGGGAGCTCTTGTTTTTGGAATCACTTACATGTTTTAAAATAATCTTGCTTACTTTGTCCAGGATTTCTTGGAAGACGTTACTGTCATTTGTTCTGCTGATGTATCACTTTGACAAAACTTTCAAAACCACAGGATGCCTCAAATGACTTTGTGGAAAATGCTAAATAAAAACATTGATATTTAGCGATTGTTTTCCTAAGACAAACACATTAATTATATCTTTCATGGGAATATATTAGTTTAAATACCAAGCACAAAACTGTTGATTCGGCATAGTTTATTTTGATTATAAGGCACGTATAAAGTAGAGTATAAAGGCAATGTAAGCTGGGTAGTTTACATTCCCACCTGCATATTCTTTGAGAATTGACAAACACAATACACAGGCAAAAATTAATTAGTGTTGGAAAGAAGGAAGGATGGCATCCTAACAAGAAACAGCCCACTAAGAATGCTAGATATATATACTGAACTTGATATGTTAGAAAGAACAAATGGGGCATCTTAGCATTCTGACTCTCATTAAATAGCACAGTGGAAATGTGGAAGCGATCCGATCAAAGTATCATTAATATTGCCAAACTTGGCACGAGGGTAGATGGGGTACAGGTAAATAGAAAAAGGAGAGATTCTTCATAATGAGATGGGCCCTTTCCTCTTAGAAGAGTAGTCACAAGTTGAAAGTCAATGTTGTGGGAATTCCTTATGAATAAGTTATCAAAACAACAGCAACAACTAGCAAGATTTATATTAGAACTTGCTGATAGAACTATATTAGAAATGTTAAATGAGGAATGATACTGAATTAGCAAGGAAAATATATCTTTTTCGATTAAATTACTAAAAGAAACTAAAACCAAGTTTTCTAAATTATTCCCAGAGGGAGAAACTGGGGAAAACAATAATGAAGGAAGAAACATTTAATGGCAGGAAAGATAATGTGAAGATGGGCTTTGAGTTAAATAAATGCAACAGTTTATTGTCATTATTGAAAATTAATGAAGAAGAGCTAAAGATAAAGGGATTCTCCAACACTTACCATAGTATTTAACTGTGAAACAATAGACATAGTGTTATCAAAGTCAGCAATGAGATATACCTGCCCTGATCTCCAATTTTTATGTATATAAAACATACACACACCAACACACACACACACACACACACACACACACACACACAGAGACAGAGAGAGAAAATTCCAGGTAATGAAACAGCATAAGAATAGGCATAGATGGTTGAACTAGTTTACAGTCCCACCAACAGTGTTAAAGTGTTCCTATTTCTCCACATCCTCTCCAGCACCTGTTGTTTCCTGACTTTTTAACGATTGCCATTCTAACTGGTGTGAGATGGTATCTCATTGTGGTTTAGATTTGCATTTCTCTGATGGCCAGTGATGATGAGCATTTTTTCATGTGTTTTTCGGCTGCATAAATGTCTTCTTTTGAAGTCAGTGTGGCGATTCCTCAGGGATCTATACCCAGCCATCCCATTACTGGGTATATACCCAAAGGACTATAAATCATGCTGCTATAAAGACACATGCACACGTATGTTTATTGCGGCATTATTCACAATAGCAAAGACTTGGAATCAACCCAAATGTCCAGCAATGATAGACTGGATTAAGAAAATGTGGCACATATACACCATGGAATACTATGCAGCCATAAAAAATGATGAGTTCATGTCCTTTGTAGGGACATGGATGAAATTGGAAATCATCATTCTCAGTAAACTATCGCAAGAACAAAAAACCAAACACCGCATATTCTCACTCATAGGTGGGAATTGAACAATGAGATCACATGGACACAGGAAGGGGAATATCACACTCTGGGGACTGTTGCGGGGTGGGGGGAGCGGGGAGGGATAGCATTGGGAGATATACCTAATGCTAGATGACGAGTTAGTGGGTGCAGTGCACCAGCATGGCACATGTATACATATGTAACTAACCTGCACAATGTGCACATGTACCCTAAAACTTAAAGTATAATAATAAAAAAAAAAAAGATTCCATTGTGGCCTATATCCCATATCTTTTAGCGATGGGGCCCACGGTTTTATCCGTAATCATTCTGTGTCCAGACATTGGATTAGGAGGATTTCTGACTGAATGACACTGACTAAAGGGCACAGAATCCTGCTCCTAGAATGTTGCTATGTCCACCTCACTGAATGTTACATAGAGGGTGGGTGAAAGTATCTAAGAGGTCAAAGACCTAGGCCCTCACTGAGCTTCCTGAATAGATTTTGTTCCTGATTTGCTAATGAGGGATTATCTAATAAATATCTAAATGTGTGATAAAAAAAAAGAATAGACATAGATGAAAAAGTTTAAAAATAAATTAATATTACTACTATTGTTACCAAATTATTTTTTCCTTGAAAACACAAGAGAAAAACCAAAAATCTCATAGAAGTCAAGGTGTATGACAATGAATGGATATATGAATAGAGACTTGTGAACACATGCAAATATATAACTAATATTTACATGGTTGAAATACATTAGCTGCTTTCAGTGATTTAAATATTAATAAAATGTAGAACACCTAATCATGAACTTATTTTTTAAATGCACAGGATCTGTAGGAATAAGCGATATATAAATTAGTGTGATATAATTCTTGTTGGAATATTAAAACTGTTTGTAATTAATTTTTCCCAAAATTAGTTCATAAATAAATTATAATCATAACAAAAAATGTGTAACTGTTATTAATAACAGCCAATTATGATGTTTGGGTAACTTTATAAAAGTAACAAATTATTAATTTTGAATTTTAACTTACCTCATTCCTCCCTCTAATTAATATATATTAATAAGTACAATGTAAAATATAAAATCAAATGGCTAGAAAAATATTCTTAATAATCTGTCAAGTTGGGAGGCTTTTTGAGAAAATAAATATGGAAATTATT
Source organism: Homo sapiens (assembly GCF_000001405.40). Classification (NCBI taxonomy): domain Eukaryota; kingdom Metazoa; phylum Chordata; class Mammalia; order Primates; family Hominidae; genus Homo; species Homo sapiens. The sequence continues at coordinate 87,321,362 of NC_000013.11, forward strand.
TGTTAAGTTTTTCTCCTTCACTTATTAATGAGTTTGAACTTTTCAACTTATGATTAATACTTTTTGCTTTCATGAATTATCTTTTCATGACCTTTGCATACTTTTTTGAATTTTGTCTTTTAAAATTGATTTCTTTTTCTTTTTTTAAATTTTACTTTAAGTTCTGGGATACATGACCTGAGCGTGCAGGTTTGTTACATAGGTATGCATGTGCCATAGTGGTTTGCTGCACCTATCAACCTGTCATCCAGGTTTTAAGCCCTGCATACATTAGGTATTTGACCTAATGCTCTCCTTCCCCTTACCCCCCACCCCCGGATAGGTCCCAGTGTGTGATGTTCCCCTCCTTGTGTCCATGTGTTGTCATTGTTCAACTCCCACTTGTGAGTGAGAACATGTGGTGTTTGGTTTTCTGTTCCTGTGTTAGCTTAGTTGCTGATACTATAAAGACATATGCACAGGTATGTTGATTGCAGCACTATTTACAATAGCAAAGACTTGGAACCAACCCAAAAGCCCATCAATGATAGACTGAATAAAGAAAACGTGGCACATATACACCATGGAATACTATGCAACCATAAAAAAGAATGAGTTCATGTCCTTTCAGGAACATGGATGAAGCGGGAAGCCATAAGATATTTTTAACAGCAAAAATATTAACTTTATTTTTTCATATATTTATTTGAACTTTTATACATGTTATAATCCTTTTTAAAAATAGAGCTTTTATATTTAAAGAGTCTCTTCTCATCTTTATAGATTTGATTTAAAATTCAAAAAAACTACCAATTTTTTTTTTATTGTTGAGTTGTGCAAATGCCAAAGAGGAGACCAACTGTAGGAGGATTGATCAGGGCCTTGATAGCTAACTGAAGCAGTAGCATGTGTGTGGTCCCTCCTCATTTTGTCACACTTTGAGCAGGCCACAGCAATCTAGCAGAGCTAAGAGTCAGACTTCTGAGCTAAGAGTCAGACTTCTGGCTATATACTTTTGGAACTACATGATTAGGAAACAGGAGCCTCTCTGGTGTTATGTTCAGAGAGGCTGAACAGACTGGGAAACAACAGCAAAAGAAAGAGGCAAAGTTTCACAGTACCCCAAATCTTCCAGCTCACTGTGACTATAGATAAGGGTAGAGGGCAATTAGTATGATTGGGGGCTTATCCTGAGTATTGTCATTACAGCTGGACGATGCGGCAAGAAAAAGCAATATTTGCCACATCAGCATTCATGATTGATGAAGCATCAACCCCTTCCTTGTTTTGGGTTGTCAGATTCCAAACTTAGCAGTGATCTGTGTTTCACGGATGCATGCACTTGGCCACAGCTAGTTTTCTTAAAACTTTGTGGGATCTCAACTTCTTATGGGGGATGTTAGTTTGCATGCCATCAGTCTAACTCTAGTGAAACTTGACATCTCAGTCCACTTCCAAGATCCCAAATAAAAGCCTCTGTGCATTACAATTCATCAGCAATTCTTACCATTTCAAATCATAATGACTCTGAGACTAGTCACTGGCAAAATGGTAGAGGAAAGTTAATGTATTTGCTTGATAAATTTTAAATTTGCTTAGTCTAAACGAGATTTTATAAAATTACCTTCCCTGTATGTTTCAGTAGGTGAGCCACAATAAAGATTCTCATATGAGATTGAGATGGCAAAAATGAAGCAGCACCTATATTTGTTGGATGCTCATAAGGTTGCGGCAAATTCCTCAGAAGCTGGTCCATGTGAACACCAAATGTCTGTCAATCATAAATTAAGGGCTGTATCTGGGGATATTAATTTCTCTGTAACACTGGCCTATACTCTACTTGGTCTGGAAGGGTTCCCGCAACAAAAGGAAGCACTAAATATGCTCTGGAATAATGTGCCATTGAAATATTATGAAAAACACCATACCCAACTTAAAAATCAAGATACTATTAATGTAAACTCAGTGAAAAATAATACATTATAAAAAGATTTTTTAAAAACCATACAGAGTTTAATAGAACTTGGTGATGGCTTCTTATCTGTCTGTTCCATCTGTTTTTAAAAAATACAAAAGAAATAACAATACCACTGCCAACAGGTAAGATAGAGTATGTCTATAACAACTCAACCTTAACTTTTTAAATATTTATTTTAAAATATTTTTATTAATGTTATGAATATTAATTTTATCATTGCACTAGTATTTTAATATTTGTATATATAATATATAAAATAATAACATAGCCTCATAAAATATACATAAACATTTGGCTTATTAATAATTAGTATCATTTATTAATATTAAATACAAAATTTAAAAGTAGTCATATTTTTATCCGTGTGTGGCCAAAACTCAAACTCAGGCCAAATTTCATGATGATGTAAATGGGGCATAAATATTTTTATCACTAAATATGAATATATCTCAACTCAACAGTAAGACAGCTGCCACAAAAATGTTTTAACACTAAGATGTGGTGAGAATTCTGCCTAATTTGAGTGAGATTCTCCCAGATCATATTATATTATAAATATGGAGCTAATAAAGGGCTAAATGTTTTACTGCACGGTGAATATATACCTGACAATCTTCAAATATCTAAATATAAACAGTCGTTTCAAAAAGCGGAAATTAGTTTTTGTGCAAACATAGTCTCCAAAAAATTTAAAACTTCTCTATTTGCTCAATTATCTTTATCTATTTTAAAAACACTTTCTGGATTTGCAATGATAGTTTAGAAAGTCACAAACTACAGTAAATTTAATTTATAAATAAAGGTAAAGTAAATAAGAGGCAGATGTTTTCCTAGCTGATCTTTTAGAGTTTTACTTCAACATTTACTAAAATGCTTAGCTAATAAAATGCAATAATGAAAGAATCTCATTAATACAAATCGTGATATATTTTACTCCTTTTCTTCCTTTTCTCTTTCCTCATAAACATTCTCATTTTGAGTCTTTGAGTCCTCACTGCTATCACTTTCTACGTACTCCTTCTCAAACTCCAAGTATGTTTAATAAATTAAAACTTCATCTGTTAAATATGAAATGTCATATATAAATGAAAAAGAAAATAATGGTCCTTTTTTCTAAGGAGTCTTAGAGACTACATTTAAGATACTGCATAAACTTGTAAACTTGTTGACAGGTTAAATTCCTTTTTAGGAACAATACACTGTAACTTTTTATAAACAGATACATGATTTTAGCATGTATTATTTAATAGAAAATGATTTAAGCTAATCGTAATATAATTTGATATATAGTTCATAGAGTTTTACTACATGTGAAGTCTATTTTCATTTTTAACATTTACAGGGTTAATTTTGAGTTTGAATCAATAAACAGTTAATCTCTATGACCTTAGATTAAGAGGAAAAATATCAGTGAAAGTTTTTATTTGTTTTTTCATGGTTCATATAGGCAACATTGACGAATGACAGTTACATTTATTTACAATGAACCAAGGGAAACATGTCAATAAAATAAAACAGACCCATCTGAACATTTACCTTGACTCAGACAAAGATAATATGTAATAAAAATTTATCGCTTTCAGTGAAAGAGTTATAATTACATATAAGACAATGGAAGCTAAACATTGTAGGCATGAAAATAGCTAAATTGCAAGGAAAATGCAATGAAATTAATGTTTTTGTAATGAAGAAGGTATTGGGTTTTCTATTAAAAGGCTATCATTACAAATTGAACTACCTACAGGAGAATTGGTTTGAAACGTTAACATGTACAGTACTTAAATACTAACAGCACATAGATCCTAAAAGTGTTTACAATTGAAATGCAGTTGCTTTGTGGTTCTATATCTCCTTCAACATATATATATATAACTTCATGAGTTTTATGAGATAGGGCTTTGCATACTATGGTACCAAATGAGAATAGAGTAGATATAGCTGGTAATAGTTTCAAAAAGAGAAAATAATTTCTCTGAAAGAAATACTGTTTTCTAGTTTAGAAGAAACAGTTTAACATTAATACCAAAATATGTGTGTGTGTGTGTGTGTGTGTGTGTGTGTGTGTGTATATATATATATATATATATAGAGAGAGAGAGAGAGAGAGAGAGAGAGACTTTTTTAAGCAAATTTATTAATCATTTTTCTAGATCCTGAAATCTTGAATTTTGGTACTGGCACTACCTGAGTGCATGTAAGACCTGAAGAATCTCAAGCTCCACCCTAGACTGGCTGAATCAGCGTCTGCAATGATACATGTGTACATTGAGGTTTTAGAGGCCCTTTTAAAAGAGAATTCCAACATATATTATTTTAATCTTATGGATTAACTTTTGAGAAAATGTTTTTACATAAGGAGAGAGGGGCATTGTTTTAGCAATTCCATTCTATTTTTGAATTATTTTCAAATTGTATGCTAGAATGGCAAGTTGAGTCTTTATTCATTCATTTTTAAAGTAAATATATAAAATATTTGCCATGCAAAACAAACAATTTTTAGTCAGTGACATCTTAACTCCAACACGAGGACATAACACCATAGTGAGATTGGAGAGGTTGAGATATACACATTTCTTTTTTCAACTTTTATTCTAAGTTCAGGGGTACATAGGCAGGTTTGTTGGTTTAAAAAAATTGAATGATGAAATGAAAGAGAGGAGCAGACTATGGAATGTTTCAGGCAGATGATTCTATAGAAGAGAACAACAGAAACTTGGTAACTAAATAAATTACATTAAAACTTTCTGTGTTTGAGTTAACATAATATTCCCTCTTATTTATCCCTTCTCCTCCTCCCAGAGGTTGTGCTACTTCCAGTGGACGACAACTATAAAAATGTCTTCCTCTTTAAGGAAGTAGAATGTTTAATATATGGAGATAATGGCGCCACAATAATTATAACAGGCCTTCCCTCAGTCTTCTTAGCTTGCATGGGGAGTAAACTAAACTGATTTATTAGACAGCAGGATATTCAGTGAGCTGTTTTTCTCCTGGATGTAGTATGTAACCATTGAAAAAATTCACATAGACCACAGAGCCATAGTTGTTTGTTTGCATTGAAAAATTAATGGACAGATTTGGATTTTTTTTTAAATTTCAGATTGACTTTTTCCTCTCTCCCTACTACTCCTGTAAATTATTTATTAAATTCTCAACAATCTGCTAATTGTCATATATAAGAGAAATACTCAGCACACAGCACACTTTTTTTTCAATTTTTTCATTTTTTTTTTTTTTTTTTGCAAAACCCAAAACTATACATACCCTAAAAGAAAATCTAGACAATACCATTCGGGACATAGGTACAGGCAAAGAGTTCATGATGAAATGGCCTAAAGCAATTACAACAAAAGCAAACATTGACAAATGGGATATAATTAAACTAAAGAGCTTCTTCACAGCAAAAGAAACTATCATCAGAGCAAACAGGCAACGTTCAAAGTGGGAGAAAAGTTTGCAATCTGTCCATGTGACAAAGGTCTAATATCCAGAATCTACAAGGAACTGAAACAAATTTACAAGAAAAAAAAAAAACCACTAAAAAGTAGGCAAAGGACATAGACACTTCTTAATAAAAGACATTCGTGTGACTAACAAACATATGAGAAAAAGCTCAACATCACTGATCATTAGAGAAATGCAAATCAAAACCACAGTGAGATACCATCTCACACCAGTCAGAATGACAATTATTAAAAAGTCAAGAAACAACATGCTGGCAAGGTTGCAGAGAAATAGGAACACTTTTACACTGTTGGTGGGAATGTAAATTAGTTCGACCATCGTGGAAGACAATGTGGGGATTCCTCAAAGATCTAGAACCAGAAATACCATCTGACCCAAGAATACTATTACTGGGTATATTCCCAAAGAAAATAAATCGTTCGATTATAACATGCACATGTATGTTCATTGCAGCACCATTCACAATAGCAAAGCCATGGAATCAACCCAAATGCCCATCAGTGATAGACTAGATAAAGAAAATGTACTTACAGACCATGGAATACTATGCAGCTATAAAAAATGAGATCATGTCCCTTGCAGGAACCTGGAAGGAGCTGGAAGCCATTATCCTCAGCAAACTAATGCAGGAACAGGAAACCAAACACAGCATGTTCTCACTTATAAGTGGGAGCTAAACAATGAGAACACATAGTCACAGGGAAAGGAACAAGACACATTGGGTCGTAATAGGGGTGGCGGTGGGGAGGGAGAACATTAGGAAAAAAGCTAATGCCTGCTGCGTTAAACACCTAGGTGATGGCCTGATAGGTGCAGCAAACCACCATGGCACATCTTTACCTACGTAACAAAACTGCACATCCTACATGTAAACCACGGAACTTAAAAATAATAATAATAGTACTTTCACATTTTGTCTTTCTGAAAAATTTACACATTATTGTGTTTAAAAGAAAGAAATACACTTTATCTTCAAATTATTGATCTGAATTCCATCCTAATTTTTAGACAGGCTGTGTCTTTTTAACTCCTTAATTTATAACTATAGATACATGTCTCATAAGTACTTTAAATTAAGATGTGAAAAATGAGAGTAAACGTCTGATTAATCTAAACCTTCTTCCTCCTCGATGGTCTATCTGGTCAATCCATATTATTTCCTTTATTTACTAGGTTAATTGCTGATAAATTAAGGAATTACCAAATATTTATTAAGCATTTCTGAGTAGCAGGCCCTTTTAGAATCTGAATGTGTGTATGTGTGTATAGTCTAATAAAACAAATGCTGACATTACCTTCATGAAAAATATATTGTACTGAAGTAGAAAGCTATTAAAATATTCATACAAGTACACGTAAAATTTCAACCCTGTTTATTACCATGAAGTAAAGGTACTTGAATTTATGAGCATATGTAATAAGGAGACTTGACCCAGCCTGAAGCAGATCAAGAAAAGCTTTTCTGATAAATTAATTTCATGAGGTCAAGTGGACCATGGTTGTGGGAAGAGTAGTGCAGGCATAGGAAACACACCAATATGCTGTGGTGGATACAAGATGATAATATTGAATTCTGACTACCAGAAAAACATTTTAAATAGGCAGAATTCAAAAGGGCTCCTGTACTAGTTTGCTAAGGTTGCTATAACAAAGTACCACAGACTTGGTGACTTAAACAGCAGAGGTTTATTTTCTCAGCAGTTCCGGAGGTTAAGAGTGTGAAATCAAGGTGTTGGCAGCATTGGTTCCTTCTGAGGGGTCTGAGGAAGGGATGTATTCCAGGTCTTTCTCCTTGTCTTGTAGGTAGCTATTTTCTTATTTATATGCCTGTGGAGCAGGTTGACTGTGCACTGGTTAACACTTCAGCCCACTGCATCCTGGGCTTTACTTTTACTACCTGTCTGAGTCTGGTAAAACAAAACAGTCACATACAAAATAAGTTACATAAATCAGGTTTATTACTTACAGATAGCCACCAAGGGAAAACTGAAACCCAGGTTTCATAGTGAGCAGATCCCTTGAGGCTCAGGGAAGCTGCCTGGGGCAGAGAGAGTCTTGTCTGTGTATCTTCACTTGCAACACACCTGTGGGACCCCCGAAGGCAGCCCAGCCTGGGTTTTATACCCCAGAGCTTCATACTTTACTGGGTAAAAGCATTATAGGACATTTTGTTTCTAGGAAGAACAAGAACATAGCTTATGCTCTTTCAGCCAGTTATTCTTTATCTCAGAATGTTGCATCCCCAGTACATCCTATTTTTTTTTTATTCCTGAGAACTACAGATGATAGAGGGAAATAATTGAATTGCTAACTCAGAGAATTTGTCTGCAATGGCATGATCCCTAAAGACATGGTTGTTTCCAAATTTCTCCGTTTCATAAAACCATCTATCATAGTGAATTAGCGATCCATTCTACTATAGTATGACTTCATCCTTACTCATTATACAGGCAAAGACCCCATTTTCACATAAGATCACGTTCTGAGATACTGGAGATTAAGACTTCAACATATCAATGTTAGGGGAACACAATTCAACACATAATGGCCCCAAGATCCCATTCTTTAATGTGCACACATGTTCTCCCAGTTACTCAATGAAACACTAACATAGATGCTGCTGTGAAGGGATTTTGCAGATGCATTTAAGGTCCTAAATCAGCCAAATTTCAAAAGGGCTATTGTCTGGACTAACCCTAAACCAATCAGATGAGTCACTGAAAGGAACTGAACTCTTTCTAGTATTAGATATTCTTATGATAGATATTATTTTATGATAGTCTCCATGCTGCCTCAAATTATCTTCAAAACCTTCTTATTTTTCTTCTATCCGTCTATAGTATATCACTTGCCACAATCTGACATTTTATTTTTTAGTATAGAAGCCTTCCATGATCTTTATGGAAGTGATTCCTATCACTCCCCTTCAGTCTTGTTAGTTTTTTGTTTGTTTTTGTTTTTTTGTCACAAGCTCACTGAACTAGGAGATACTGTATAGTTTCACCTTGATCTGTCATGACTGTAATTTCCTAAACACACCTTATTCTCTTCCTAGAATGCACTTTCTTATTTTAGTGACTAATGAGATTGCCCATGAATATTTTAGAATCTAATTACTAACACCTTTTCTGTGATATCTTCATTGTTTTCTTCCATAACCAGAAATAAACTTACATTTGCCTATGTTTTCATCACAAAATGTGGCAACTCTTTTATAATCCTCATCCAATAATATTACCAAATGCTCTTAGTAATTATTTATATCATGTTTATCCTCTCAACCTGACTGTTATCTCTTTAAAATCAGAATATTTACATTACATATATATATATACACATATGTTTGTGTGTGTGTGTGTATATATACATATATACACACACCAGTATATATATATATATATATATATATATATATATATATATATATATATGTATATTCTGGTCCTTCATTAGGAAAGAAGTAATAAATTTGTAAGCTTGAAAGAGACATTTCAACTAATATCTCATTATTATTATTATATAATCAGCATAAAGAGTGATAGTGCACGCAGTTGGGCATTTTTCTTAGGATAAGTGATACATACTTGATGATTGATTTTACACAAATCCCACCAATCTGCTATATTGTAAATGAAGACAGAAAAATTATCTTACTCATCAGAAAAAAATATCAAGGCAAATTTGTTCTTGGAAACAATATGCTCATAAGATTTTAGTAATTACTTCTGAGCCTTTTTGTATTTTACTTACTACCATCCTCCATATGCCTTTGATATTTTTTGGCATATATACATCTTCCATATTTCTTTTTACATAAAAATATTATAAAAACACTGTTTCTCAAAGCTGGTCCATTGCTCATACTTTTCTAAGTACTTTTGGAGTACCATATTCAAGGAAATGTACAAACTGAATTGAACTTAATTTGTAATTATGACTATATCTGCTTTTAACCATTCCTATCTTCATGATACATCATGTACTCTATATAGCACAAAAATGTCTCAAAAGAAACTTATTTCCTAATTTTCCTTTCATTGTTAAAAAACACTTAAACCAAATATAGTGGTGTTCATTTTATCACTATATGAGCAAATATATGTTAAATGTGTACCTTGTATATAAGAACATATTTTTATATTAGCTTTGCTTAGATTATTATGTATAGTTTTTCATTCTGATGTTCAATATATTATATTTAGTCTCAAAGAATCTGGCTTCAATGCAAAGTAAGATTTATCTACTAAATTATATTTTTACAGCTATACATTCATATTTTCTGTCTCTGATTCAACAATATTCTGGTGATGATGCACTTAGGTTATTAAAATAGGTAGACTACATTGTTTAATTTGTATTCTGTCATTTGTTCATCCATAGGTCAATGTAGAAAGTATAAAAATTTCTGTTGTTCTCTTTTAATGTTGAGGTTTCCTGATGTCTTTGTCTTGCTCAAACCCAGTCACCCGCTCTCAGACTGTCATTCACCATCCTGTTCGGCTGGCTTGTGCTGTTTCACAGGAGTTTCCATGTGGGTCACACAGTCTGAGATTGCATGCTTCAGTTTCTGCCAGCCAGTCCTACAGGTCAGGACCTGCTGTTACCCAACCTTGCATAAGTCCTGGAGAGCTGCGCCAGAGCAAAACAATGCTGACAGACTGGCAGTGTCCCAAGGCCTTGTTGGTAAGAATCCTGTCTTACATTTGGTCTCTCCCACTGGAATGACAGAAACTCCAAATTATCCTGCATTCTTTGGCCCACAAAACACTATCCTATTTAATAGAACTCTTCCTTGAAAATTGTTTCCTTAAGAAATAGTGATAGAGAATTTCATTCAGATAAACAGGTAATTGTAAACATAAGAGGATTGCTTTTAACATTTTTTATTTTAAACAATTTTAAAGTTACAGAAAAATTGTAAGCATAGTATAAGGATTTTCCATATACTTATCAAAGACATTCACCAAGTTTTAACATTTGGAAGCATGGAATCATATATTCTCTGTGTGTAGGGGGAGTATGTGTGTGTTCGTATGGTTTTATATATGATTATATATATATGGTTTATATATACAGTATATGGATGTTGTGTATATATACAAACACACCACATACAGTCATGTGTCACATAATGATATTTTGGTCAAGGACAGATCACATATACAATGTTGATTCTGTAAGATTACAATATTGTATTTTTACTGTACCTTTTTTATGTGTAGCTACAAAAATACTAACATCATGTTACAATTCCCTACAGTATTCAGTACAATAACATGCTTGTATTTGTTCGCTTTCATGCCACTGATAAAAACATACCCAAGACTGGGAAGAAAAAGATGTATAATTAGACTTACAGTTCCGCATGGCCAGGGAGGTCTCAGAATCACAGCAGGAGGCAAAAGACATTTCTTACATGATGGCGGCAAGAGAAAATGAGGGAAAAGCAAAAGCGGAAAACCCTGATAAACCCATCACATCTCATGAAACTTATTCACTATCACGAGAATAGCACAGGAAACACTAACACCCATGATTCAATTACCTCTCCCTGGGTCCCTCCCACAACATGTGGGAATTCTGGGAGACACAATTCAAGTTGAGATTTGGGTAGGGACACAGCCAAATCATATCATTTTGCCTGTGACCCCTCCAAATATCATGTCCTCATATGTCAAAATCAATCATGTCTTCCCAACAGTCCCCAAAAGTCTTAACTCATTTCAACATTAACCCAAAAGTCCACAGTCCAAAGTCTCATCTGCGACGAGGCAAGTGCCTTCCACCTATGAGCTTGTAAAATCAAAAGCAAGCTAGTTATTTTGTAGATACAATGGGGGTATGGGTATCGAGTAAATACAGTCATTCCACTTGGGAGAAATTGGCCAAAACAAAGGGGTTACAGGGCCCATGCAAGTCCAAAATACAATGGGGCAGTCAAATTTCAAAGTTCCAAAATGATCTCCTTTGACTCCAGGTCTAACATCCAGGTCATGCTGATGCAAGGGGTGGGTTCCCATGGTCTTTGATAGCTCTGACCCTGTGGCTTTGCAGGGTACAGCCTCCCTCCTGGTTGTTTTCATGGGTTGAAGTTGAGTGTCTGTGGCTTTTCCAGGTGCACAGTGCAAGTGTGGGTGGATCTGTCCAACTGTCGGTGGACCTACCCTTCTGGGGTGTGGAGGACAGTGGCCCTCTTCTCACAGCTCCACTAAGCAGGGCCCCATAGAGACTCTTTGGGGGTTCTCCGACTCCACATTTTCCTTCTGCACTGCCTTAGCAGAGATTCTCCATGAGGGCCCTGACCCTGTAGCAAACTTTTTACTAGGCATCCAGGCATTTCCAACATCTTCTGAAATCTAGACAGAGGTTCCCAAACCTCAATTATTGACTTCTGGGCAACTGCAGGCTTAACACCACGTGGAAACTGCCAAGGCTTGGGGTTTCCAGCCTCTGAAGCCAAAGCTCAAGCTGTACATTGGCCCTTTTGAGCCATGGCTGGAGCAGCTGGCACACAGAGCACTACGTCTCTAGGCTGCATACAGCACATGGACGCTGGGCCCAGGCCACAAAACCACTTTTTCCTCCTGGATCTCCAAGCATATGATGGGAGGGGATGGCATGAAGGTCTCTAACGTGGCCTGGAGACATTTTGCCCATGGTCTCGGGGATTAACATTAGGCTCCTTGCTACTTATGCAAATTTCTGTAGCCAGCTTGAATTTCTCCACAGAAAATGGGATTTTCTTTTCTATCACATAATCAGGCTGCAAATTTTCCAAACTTGTATGCTCTGCTTCCTTTATAAAACTGAATGCCTTTAACGGCAGCCAAGTCACGTTGAGATGTGAAGCCAGCTGGACTTGCTGGGTCGAGTGGGGACTTGGAGAACTTTTCTGTCTTACAAGAGGATTATAAAATGCACCAATTAGTGCTCTGTAAAAACGCACCAATCAGCACTCTGTAGCTAGCAAGGGGATTGTAAAATGCACCAATCAGTACCCTGAAAATGCAACAATCAGCACTCTGTAAAATGCACCAATCAGCAGGATCCTAAAACTAGCCAATCACAGGGAGGATTGATAAAGGAGCACTCTGATAGGACAAAAACAGAACATGGGAGGGGACAAACAAGGGAATAAATGCTGGCCACCCCAGCCAGCAGCAGCAACTCACTCGGGTCTCCTTACACACTGTGGAAGCTTTGTTCTTTCACTCTTCACAATAAATCTTGCTGCTGCTCACTCTTTGGGTCTGTGCCATCTTTAAAAGCTGTAACACTCACTGCGAAGGTCCATGGCTCCATTCTTGAAATCAGCAAAACCACAAACCCACTGGCAGGAACCAACTCTGGACACATCTTGGGAGCTCCTCTGGGATATTGTCATGTGGTGAGTACCATCGGACCCCTTTTGCTTGCCATTCTGTCCTATTTTTCTTTAGAATTTGGGGGCTAAACACCAGGCACCTGTCACCCAGTTAAAAGCGACTAGTGCAGCTACAACACTAAAGACATGGGTATCAGTCTTTCTGGGAAAGGGCTCTCTAACAAACCCTGACACTTCGGAGTCGGGAGCGTCGGTTTTCTGGGAACCAGCTTCCACTTTTCCTGTACTTTGGGCTGAGCCAAAGGTCAACAGACAGAAAAGCCATTCAGCTCCAGGGTCCCAACAAAAAGTTGGTTTACCCTGCAGCCATGAGCGGAACTCTCAAAGTTACGTTGCCCAAGTGAGATTTACCCATATATCCTATCTATCCTGACCCTTGCCTCCTGGGTCCTAACACCTATCAGACAAACTTTCTCTTGCCTCTCTTCTCTGAGGCTAGTCCTGCTTCTAAAAACCACTCCCTGTCTCTGGTGCTTTTCTAGTTTCTCCTATAAAGACTTTTAGTATAAACTTCAGGGCTCTGTTCCCTTCTTTAGGCACCCAGGCTCACCAATCAGAAAGACATAGTTTTTTCTCAAAGCCCCATCGGGGGGGTACCATCCAAACTTTCAGAATCCCTCCTCAGACTAGCCTGCCTAACAAAGGCTATTCCTGAAGCTAGGACATGGGGAGCCTCAGAAATTACAGACTCCAAAATTGGGGGGCTATCCTTCCTATTCACATGATGAGAAGTGAGGACAAAAGGTGTCACTCTTCCAACCCTGGAGATCCCTTCCCTCCCTCAAGGTATGGCCCTCCACTCCATTTTGAGGCATATCATCTTTATGGGATAAGGGTAAGGTCCCAATACTAAAAGGAGAAAATGCTTAGGACTGTAATTGATTTTTGAGAATGCATCAGTAAGGGCCACTAAATCCGATTTTTCTCAGTCCTCTTTGTAGTCTAGGATGAAAACTAGTGTTTCTGCTGCTGCTTTGGTGAGTGCCAACTATTCTGAACAGCAGGGTCCAGGGACTGTTGCAGGTTCTCGGGCAGGGGAAAAAAAAAAAACTGCAGGAGGTTTTTTCTTTCAGATGGGAAACACTCAGGCATCAACAGGCTCACCCTTGAAATGCATCCTAAGCCATTGGGACCAATTTGACCTGCAAATCCTGAAAAATAGGTAAGTGGCTCATTTTTTTCTGCATTATGGCCTGGCCCCAGTATTCCCTCTCTGATGGGAAAAAATGGTCACCTGAAGGAAGTATAAATTATAATACTATCCTGCAACTTGACCTTTTCTGTAAGAGGGAAGGCAAATGGAGTGAAATACCTATGTCCAAGCTTTCTTTTTATTGAAGGATAATCCACAACTATGCAAAACTTGCAATTTACATCCCACAGGAGGACTTCTCAACTTACCTCCATATCCTAGCCTCCTTACAGCTTCCCTTCCTATTAATGATAAGCCTCCTCTAATCTCCCCCACCCAGAAGGAAGCAAGCAAGGAAATCTCCAAGGGACCACAAAACCCCCCGGGCTATCGTTTATGTCCCCTTCAAGCTGTAGGGAGAGGGGAATTTGGCTCAACCCGGATACATGTCCCCTTCTCCCTCTCTGATTTAAAGCAGATCAAGGTAGACCTGGGGAAGTTTACAGATGATCCTGATAGGTATATAGATGTCCTACAGGGTCTATGGCAAACTTTTGACCTCACTTGGAGAGGTGTCATGCTATTGTTAGATCAAACCCTGGCCTTTAATGAAAAGAATGTGGCTTTAGCTACAGCCTGAGAGTTTGGAGATAACCTGGTATCTTAGTCAAGCAAATGATAGAATGACAGCCGAATAAAGGGACAAATTCCCTACTGTTCAGCAAGCCATCCTCAGTATGGATCTCCAGTGGGACCTAGACTCAGATCATGGGGACTGGAGTCGCAAACATCTGTTGACCTGTGTTCTAGAAGGACTAAGAAGAATTAGAAAAAACCCCATGAATTATTCAATGATGTCCACCATAACTCAGGGAAAGGAAAATCCTACCGCCTTACTCTAGCGGCTACAGGAGGCCTCAAGAAAATATACTCCCTTGTTTGATCCTAAAAGATAAGTTTATTACCCAATCAGCCACAGATATCAGGAGAAAGTTCCCAAAGTGAGCCCTGGGCTTGAACAAAATCTGGAGGCATTATTAAGCCTGGCAACCTCAGTGTTCTATAATAGGGACCAAGAAGAACAGGCCGAAAAGGAAAAGCGAGATAAGAGAAAGGCCGCAGCCTTAGTCATGGCCCTCAGACAAACAAACCTTGGTGGTTCAGAGAGGACAGAAAATGGAGCAGGCCAATCACCTGATAAGGTTTGTTATCAGTGTGGCTTGCAAGGACACTTTAAAAAAGATTGTCCAACGAGAAACAAGCTGCCCCTTCGCCCATGTCCACTATGCCAAGACAATCACTGGAAGGCACACTGCCCCAGAGAACAAAGGGTCTCTGGGCCAGAAGCTCCCAACCAGATGATCCAACAACAGAACTGAGGGTGTCTGGGGCAAGCGCCAGCTCATGTCATCACCCTCACTGAGCCCTGTGTATGTTTAACCAGTGAGAGCCAGGAAATTGACTTCCTCCTGGACACTGGCACAGCCTTCTCAGCGTTAATCTCCTGCCCTGGATGGCTATCCTCAAGGTCCATTACCATCCGAGGAATCCTGGGACAGCCTGTAACCAGGTATTTCTCCCACCTCCTCAGTTGTAATTGGGAGACTTTGCTCTTTTCACATGCCTTTCTTGTTACACCTGAAAGTCCCACACCCTTATTAGGGAGGGACATATTAGCCAAGGCTGGAGCTATTATCTACATGAATAAGGGGAACAAGTTACCCATTTATTGTCCCCTACTTGAGGAGGAAATCAACCCTGAAGTCTGGGCATTGGAAGGACAATTTGGAAGGGCAAAAAATGCCCACCCAGTCCAAACCAGGCTAAAAGACGCCACCACTTTTCCTTATCAAAGGCAACATCCCTTAAGGCCTGAAGCTCATAAAGAATTACAGGATATTGTTAGACATTTAAATGTTCAAGGCTTAGTAAGAAAATGCAGCAGTCCCTGCAACACCCCAATTCTAGGAGTACAAAAACCGAATGATCAGTGGAGACTAGTGCAAAATCTTAGACTCATCAATGAGGCAGTATTTCCTCTATATCCAGTTGTACCCAACCCCTATACCCTGCTTTCTCAAATACCAGAGGAAGCAGAATAGTTCACTGTTCTGGACATATGTTATAGAGTAGCATTAGGTTGGTGCAAAAGTAATCATGGTTTTTGCCATTACCTCTGTACCAACTAATAGACAGATTGCAAGTTTGTAAATATTTTGTGTATTCAAAGAACTAAATTACATCAAATTTTGGAAAGAAAAAGCAATTTCTCTAAGTAGAAAATAAACAGAAACACATGAACCTACTTAAGTTCACAAAGAAAAAAATAGTAATTTCAACCAATTGAATATCACAGAACTCTTCTGGTAAAACCTTAGCAGGATTGAAAAAGTCTTAAAAGACATATTATCAATTATGGTATTTGTAATGCTATTTTGAAAAAAAGTTGATGAATACAGCAGGTACATATTTATTTATTGTATCAAGAACAAAGATTTTCAAATACAAAAAAAACCCTAAAATTACATAATTGTGGAAATTAAGTAAATTTCCTATAATAATTTCATACCGAAAAATGCCAGTATGGACTCATTTAGGTTTCTTTTTTTCAAGTACATATATTTTCTGGCCTTCATCACAAAAACGGACCTAGAAAGCATGCAAACCCAGCAACAATGAAAGATTCTGTGATCTGGATTTTCCTGTCTGAATAGAATTTCTTACCAAAATAAACTAATAAAGAAAGGGTTGATTTTGGGTATGTCGCAGGGAACTTACGACAAGTGTTAGAACACTGACTATCCTTGAAAGCAACAAAACTTTCTACTAACAAGGTGGTGGAAGGGGTAATGGCCGTGTTAGAAAGATCAAGGAACCAGTGTGAAGGTTTTCCTTATGGTCAGATTGGGACATAAAAATATACTAACTGTAAATGATTTTAAAACTATCTAAAATAAAAACCTTTAAGTCAAGAGTGGAGAGATAGGAAGAGAGAATGAGAATGAAGTTGATTATTACACCACCCTCTTGCTCTGAAAATTGATAGTTAAAAATAAAAAAACTAAGCATTTAACAAGCCTTTACAAGAAAAGATATATATATATATATGCATATTTCATATATATATATGTCATCCAAGTTAGGAAGAAAAGTTCTCCTTTATAAAACAATTCCAGCTAATAAAAGAATGATAGAATGAGAAAATCACTAGAATGTGAGATAAAATTGCAAAATTTTTCCAATCTATTTAACATATTAATGTCATTTTTACAAAATGGGCAGGAGATTTTTCTAGATAAAAATAGATGAGATATTCTGATTGATCATATCCTACTATGTTTATGTAGGAGACTGTTCTTGTTTTAAGGAGATCTTTTCTAAGCTATTCTATGGAAAAGCATCATACTGTCTGCAACAAAATTTTAATATCTATATTTTTGGCATGTGTGGCAAAACTTAACTAATTTTGAGTCGAGGTGACAAATTGTGTTGGTCAATATAAATTTTTTTCAACTTTTCTGAAAATTAGACATTTGTTGCAATAAAATTTGGGGGATTTTATTTTAGATTAAAATGTTAAGAAACCATGTACTCTCTTTGGTAGTCACCAAATAATATTTGTGTTATAATATTATATGAGGTAGAATATAAGAGATTAAATATATTATCATTATAATGCTATTTGCTATTTTCTGTACTGGTACAGGTACTGTAAACATGTAACTTTTACAAATTATATTTAACTTTTTCTTATTATGTAAGTCATAATGCTTTAAAGAAAATATCCTATTTTGATATTTTAAGTCTTGTGAATGAATTATAAACAGAATGTTAATTTTATGACCAGAGAAAGAGGTTGTTTGCAAGCAGAAAAACTTGGAATCAAATAAACAATTTTAAATAAAACATCAACTTTTATCCAGCCATTGTCAAAAATAAATAGTAAATGAAGAAAATAATTTATCTTCCTCCTATCTCAATCTTAGTTGGAAATGGGTACCAATTTAGCATCACAAATAGTATATTACAATTACTTATTGACTAGACTGATAATTTCAGCCTTTCTTAATTTCAGTGGGTTAACCAAATTGAGAGCTAAACTCCATGAATTTAAACAAAAACAAATAAACATAAACTACTGTTGGAGTGGTGTGACCAAGAAATTCGAACTTGCAATCTGTCCTTGCAAGTTCTCATCCTAGGTTATGAGGAAACTTGCAAGTTAGGAAAAATTATTTTGCATTCAAGAATTTAAGACATCATTGAATGCAATGGAATAAAGGAACAGGATAACGTATGGAATAAAGGAACAGGATGAGTTTATGGAAGTGTGTGCAGACTTCCTGATAGAGATTCTTATTGGCCAAATTAAGGATTTTGTATTGTTGCTTGACTAATGAAAGATTTTCAAATATTTGTAGCATTTACTATCATCTAGCTTATATTTACAAATGATCAAAATGTCTGTTATTTTAAAAAGGTACAAAAAGGGAGCAAGTTGAGTTTGTCAGGGAGAAAGGTGAGAGTTTTTTGGACTTTATTTTAATGTATAATAGCAATACAGGGAAGTATCCAATTTGAAATACGAAGTTTGAATTTGGAAGCTATGTCTCCATTACCCTGTATTCTTAGCTTAAGGATATGTTTATTCTACTAAACGCACTTTAGAAATATTTTGTCCGGGGAAGGAAAATTTTCTTTAGTATTTCAATAATGGCTCTCTCTCTTATCATTCTTGACTAATTCAGGAAAAAACGAGAACCTTTACCACATTTTTGGCATTAAGCTATTTGATTTTTCAATGCATATTTTTTGAGAACCACATATGTGAAAGGTGTTGCATTAGGTAATGACAAAAACAGAGAAAGCTCCTGAATTCTGGGAGCCTTTTTTCTAGTATGGAAGCACATATGAATCAGACAGTGAAACAAATGCATTTAAAATAAGGAATCTAGTAGATAACATGTAGTGGCTTTTCCAACATCCATTTCAATTTCCTTTTTGCATACAGTGATTAGAATGCTTAAAATATTACAATTTAGCCTCCATTAAAGCTATAGTTTGGAAGAATTTCTTTTTACTTATTGATTGTACTTGCAAGAGACTTTGATTTGAGACTGAATTGTGTGGCTAGAGGAGCTAGGTGCAGGGCTTCTGCTTTGATCTAGCACTTTACAGCAGCAATGGTAATGTTTTTCTGTGAACATTTGTTGTAGTAACAGAATTTTGCAGTGAGATTAGGATTTTTCACCTATGGGGGCAACATGCTTGTGAATACAGGAATTTTCCAGGAAGTTCAAGTTGGAGGTTTCTCCACCTCTACCAATGAGCTTGTATGAACCTAAAATCATGTATTAGATTGCTTTTTGCACCAACCGTCTAGAGTAGATTCCGTTATTGGCATCTACAAACCACTAAGTAAAATAAATAGGTAAATTAGAGATGGGAAACAGTCATTCTAGGACATCAGTTTCTGTGAGCGCCTGTTTACCCTATTTGGTTTGAAAGTTTTAATATTACCAAAGTGTGTTCATGTATTAGTCAGGGTTCTCTAGAGGGACAGAACTAATGGAATATAAATATATATTTTTATTATATATATAATATATATTATACATATTATATATTATTATATATAATAATAATATACATAATATTATTATAATATTATTATATATTTAATATTATATTATATATAATATAATATTAAATATAATATATAATAATATTATATTATATTATATATTTTATATATAATAATATTTTATTATTATATATTATATAATAATATAATATTAAATATAATATATAATATTATATTATATTATTATATATTAATATATTATAATATATAGTATATACATAATAAACATATATATGTTTATTAAGTATTAAATTACACCTTACACCATCACAGAGTCCCACATTAGGCTGTCTGCAGGTTGAGGAGCAAGGAGAGTCAGTCAGAGTTCCAAAACTGAAGAAGTTGGAGTTGATGTTCAAGGGCAGGAAGCATCCAACACGGGAGAAAGATTTAGTGCGGGAGGCTAGGCCAGTCTCTCTTTTCAAATTTTTCTGCTTGCTTATATTGCCAAAGGAAATTAACATTTGAATCGGGGGCTGGGAAAGGCACACCCACTCTTAATCTGGGTGGGGACAATCTAATCAGCAGCCAGAGTGCGGCTAGAATATAAGGAGGCAGAAAAATGTGAAAAGAGAGACTGGCCTGGCCTCCCAGCTTACATCTTTCTCCCGTGATGGATGCTTCCTGCCCGGGAACATCGGACTCCAAGTTCTTCAGTTTTGGAACTCAGACTGGCTCTCCTTGCTCCCAGCCTGAAGACGGCCTATTGTCGGACCTTGTGATAGTGTGAGTTAATACTTAGTAAACTCCCACATATATGAATACACACCTATACATACATATATACATATACATATTCCATATATACACACACACATATACACACACACACACACATATATACATATACATATTCCATTAATTCTGTCCCTCTAGAGAACGCTAATATGATAATTTATTGGAGACAAAATATATTTCAGTTACATTAGGCATATTATTTTCAAATTATTTTATCACTCTTAACTTTTAAAAGTACATTAACCACAGTTATATAGGAAACCTCATTACAGATATTAAAAAATAACCAGGTGACTTATCAATGGAGAATGAAAATATATCACTATTTTATAAATGGGTTGGACATAAACAAATGTTTATCCTCAAATTGAATGGCAGGAAATTCATGCTAAGAAAAGCAAGACCATTTCAGAGGTAAGCTCCAAATGTGGACAGTTATGCAAACAAGATAAGAATAAAGATACTCTGCTAATTGCACTCTGCTACAACAAACATATAAAACTTTCATTACAACAAAGAAGTTTCCTGTTACAATACCACTTTAAATATAAAGTAGTCTAATTAGATCAGATAATCAAATTTCTTAATTGGAAAGAGAAACAAAGTAATAACAATCTTAGGAAAATAAATGTTTATTTTGTACAGATTCAAAGAACATTTATCATTGTGAGCCAACCACTTCCCATTGTCCTTTCTTCTAGTCAGAAAAACCTAAGTCTCTTCTGGAAAACCATCTCATGCCCTATTTTCAGTCTGCTGTTGGTGAAGATGAACTTAGTTGAACTGAATTACTTTGAACCAGCAGTTTTGTTTTGCTTATTTTATTTGTTTATTTGTTTTAAGTTGTGGGGTACATGTGCAGGATGTGCAGGTTTGTTATATAGGTAAATGGGTGACATGGTGGTTTTAATCAGTGAGATTTCAGGTTTAAAATATTACCTGGATTATGTTCCTGATACAAGTCTCTTCTAAATTGTGACTGAACTACACATTCAGGAAACAAACAAACAAACAAAAAACAGGTGAATTCACATAACACCACTGTAAATGAAGTCTAATAATCAACTTATTGCCAATATCTGGAATAATTTTTATTGCTTACAATAATCAGTCATGTGGATTGGTATATACTGTCTGCTCTGCCACAATAAGCAGGGTAGTTAGTAAATACTAATATTAATTCTTAGTCCACATTACATCAACAACTAAGAGCTTTAAAGTCAGTAGTGAAATAACAACTGTTATGATGTTTCTTCTCTATTTGAATTATCTGATCTAATACATCTCGAATATTTCCCCAATTATCCATTATATTTTCTACATATTCCAAATTGCCATGTGATAAAAGCACAAATTTCTGTTTCAAGCTATATAGTTGCTATGTAGATCATTTATAGAGACAGAAGGAGTTATATTTACAGGGTAAATTTTATGTTGAAGCTTTTCATTTACATAATACATTTAGGGTTTACATAACTCAGGTAGTCAGAAAATGAATGGACCCCATCTTGGGCCAATCTATACTATTACATTAGACACTGGGAACTGACGTAGGAACAAAAGGCATCAAAAAACTGGACTCCCAATGTTATATCTTGTAAGAGAATGTGTCCAGCAGCCAATGAACAAAGGGTGGAGTAAAGGACACTGTACTATTTTTCACTTAATAAATAAATGTATAGGCTGGGCGCGGTGGCTCATGCCTGTAATCCCAGCACTTTGGGAGGCCGAGGCAGGTGGATCACGAGGTCAGGAGTTTGAGACCAGCCTGACGAACATGGTGAAAACCCATCTCTATTAAAAATACAAAAATTAGCCGGGCATGGTGGCGCGCACCTGTAATCCCAGCTACTCAGCAGGCCGAGGCAGGAGAATCACTTGAATCCAGGAGGGAGAGGTTGCAGTGAGCCGAGATTGCACCACTGCACTCCAGCCTGGGTGACAGAGCAAGACTCCATCTCAAAAAAAAAATAATAATAATAATAAATAAATGTATAAAATGATATTGGTAACTTTATTTTTACCACAAATACATGTATTTTATTTCTTACACTTTCAAAAGCAGAATATAATGCAAAATAGAAAATAATAGCAAGACAAAATAATAATATAAAAGGTAGGAAATACCAGAACATAGAATAGAAAAAAAAATTAAAAATCACTCTAAAACCTGTAAAACTCCTATAAGTAGAATTATATTTCTGTCATATAATAATAACTAAAAAAAAAGGTTTGAGGATGGAACTACAACCATAAATACAGAACAGATACAATGAAATGACAATTCTATAAAATACCTATGCTAATTTTTTAAATAATATGATAAAACTCCAGATTTCTACTAAGCTAAAAAAGTAAAAAAGAATCCCAGATCATTTGGAAGAGTATGATTTGACCATCTTTTTCTAGATTTCCAGAAATAGCTTCATGAAATAAGAAAAATTTAAAAAGCAAAACCTCATGATATCTTCGAAAAGTAATGTGCATTACCAATATATTATAAATCTGACAAACATTTTCCTGGAAGAAGTGAAGCATCAAGATATTCATATCCAGTTTGAAAAGCATTTCATGTCCATATCGCAGCTGTTACTTTAAAATGTAGTGTCAATGGTCCAGACAGAAGAAAAGATATCCAAGAAAACTTGCAATTATGCCTTGAATGTGAGTGCAGAGTATCCATAATGCATTCCTCAGATTCCTCTGGAATTAGACAGGTTGGGTAAGGAAGTAAGATCACCCACATAGTTGCTTGACTGAGAGATCAATTTCACCTTTATGGTAAATTTTATGAAGTACAGCATTATCAATACATAGAATAATTAAGTAGATTGCTCTTTTATCTGAGCCACTCGTTGAGGCCAAGGAATTGTGAGATGCTGCTTGGTCAGATTTGATTCAAGTGCTTACTACTGGGATGACAGATTCAACCTCAGTCTTCACTAACAGCAGACTGAGAATAGGGCACGAGATGGTTTTCCAGAAGAAACTTAGGTTTTTAGTATTAGAAGAAAGGACAATGGGAAGTGGTTGGCTCACAATGATAAAGGTTCTTTTAATCTGGACAAAATAAACATTTATTTTCCTAAGATTGTTCATAACTTTGTTTCTCTTTCCAAATTAGTGAAGTGATTTCTGGTCTAAAAAGACTGTCATATATTTAAAGTGGTTTTGTAACAGGAATGAAAGTTTTAAGTGTGTTTTGGTTCCTGGTAAACATAGAACCTATGAAAGGCAATAAAGCAGTAAACTTATTTCATTACAATTCCTGTAATTAATTATATGCTCTATTTTAAAACTCCTATTCTATTTATACTGTATAACTTACTGTCTTTAATGGTTAATGATTGTAGTTCTCACTCATGTCTCATAATCCTCCAGATTTGTCCAAATAGCACTTCCACTGTGCAGAGTTGGACACTTCAAGATATCTTACTAACATACAAATGCTTTGCAATAAATCATTCACTGCTATTTTTTTAAATAGTAGGAATATAGAATATAAATAAATAATTCCCGAGGTGAAAACAATGAGCTTCAATACATAACCAGATCTAGGAAAAAATAAAAATATTTCGTTTTAATATATTATACTTTAATATCTGCACTTACATTGAAATTAAAATTTACAATGAATCTTTAAAACTAAAGCTATCATGCAGAAAAAAATCAACAAAATTCTGCTCAACAAGTGCTTTTAAGCTGAGAAAACATAAGAACAAATTGTTCCTCTTTGGGGTTTATAAGTAAATTTTCGTTTATATATACATAATAGTAGGAGAAAAAGGAAGAATAGACATACAATATAGAAGGATGGAAAAATTAAGAGAAGTGAAGGTAAGGGTTTGGTTGTGTTCTGTGTCAGAAGTATAGGACTTATGATCTATACTTATGAAATAATTATCTTTTACACATTATCTCTAAAAAGACCATGCAAGTTCATTTCATTCAACCTGAAGGTATCATTTTACAGCTGAATAAACTGAATTTGAGAAAACATGATTTACCTTTTCTAGTTTCCACATTTTCCTGCTCATAAACTTTCAATCTATCACTGATTTTAGGCATTCCTGCCTTATACATTCTCATGTAGTTATCAGAGAAAAGAAAACCAGTTTGGCTTATGATTCATCACACAACTCAGGTAATTAGAATATTCTTTCATATTTGTGTTGGTAGTTGTTTTGCTATTACCATAAAATCAGGAGAAATATATATTCAGCATTTTAACACTATTGAAATGTTAAAAATCATCACAATAGAAATGATAATTATGTATTCTTGCTAGGTGACACTAACAGAGTATCTGTTTAAAATTGCAAGGTACAGAGAACATATAAGCATGAGTATCAAATTATTCAGCTCTTATAAATCTATTGCATTTTTCCAAGCATCAAATCAGTGTGTTTCTTCTTTCTCATTTGCCTAATTTATGGTAATCCGTACTGCTAGCAGGGTCTCTGAATACTTTGCATATTACATGTATTTGGATAATAGAAAAACACTTTTTTAATCATTAAGGAAATTATCTTTAAAATATTTTATTTTAGATTCAGCATGTACATGTGCAAATGTGTTACTTGGATATATTGTGTAATGGTGGGGTTTGGGATTCTAGTGTACCCATCACCCAAATAGTGACCATTGAACCCAGTAGATAGTTCTTCATCCCTCACCCTCTGTCAACATCCCTGCTTTTGGAATCCCATGTCTACTGTTTTCATCTTTATGTCTATGTGTACCCATTGTTTAGCTTCTACTTATACGTGAGAACATAAAGTATTTGATTTTCTGTTTCTGAGTTATTTCACTTATGTGGTATGATGGCCTCCAGCTCCATCCATGTTGCTACTAAGGATATGATTTAATTTTTTATGGCTGCATAGTATTCCATGGTGTAGATATACTACATTTTCTTTATCCAATCAACCATTGATAGAAACTTAGGTTGATTCCATGATTTTGCTATTGTGAATAGTGCTGTGATAAATGTCAGTGCAGGTGCTGTTTTATATAATGGTTTCTTTTCCTTTGGGTAAATACCTACCAATGGGATTGCTGGATCAAATGACAGTTCTATATTTACTTATTTGAGAAATTTCCTTACTGTTTTCCATACCACATTCTATGAAACCAGTATCACTCTGATATAAAAATGAGGTAAGGACACAACAACAACAAAATAAACTACAAGCCAGTATCTTTGATGGCAATAGATGCTTACCATCCTCAGCAAAATAGTAGCAAACCAAATCCAGTTGCAAATCAGAAGGATAATTTATTAGAATCAAATGGGTTTTATTCCAGGGATACAATATGGTTCAACATTCACAAATGAATAAATGTAACTCACCACATAAACAGAGTTAAAAATCATACGATTATCTCAATAGATGCAGAAAATGTATTCGACAAAATCGAACATCCTTTCATGATAAAAACCCTCAACAAATTAGGTATCAAAGGAATATACCTCAGAATAATAACACCATATACAACAAACTCAGTCAACATCATACTGAACAGAGAAAAGTTGAAAACATTCCTCCTAAGAACTGGAACAAGACAAGAATGTCCACACTTAGTATTCTTATGCAACATAATATGTTCAAGCCGAGAACAAAATCAAGAACTCAATCCCATTCATAGTAGCCACACACACACAAATAAAATACCTAGGAATACAGCTAATCAAAGAGGTGAAGGATCTCTATGAGGAGAACTACAAAACATGAAAGAAAGAAATAGGTGTCATAAACGAATAGAAAAACACCACATGCTTATGGATTGGAAGAATCAATATCATTAAAATGACCATACTGCCCAAAGCAATATACAGATTGAACACAATTCCTGTCAAACTACCAAATCATTATTCACAGAGTTAAGAAAAAAATCCTAAACTTCCTTTTTTAAATAATAAAAATAAGACTTTTTTTTTTTTTTTTTTTTTTTTTTTTTTTTTTTTTTTTTTTTTTTGAGATGGAGTTTTGCTGTGTCGCCCAGGCTGCAGTGCAGTGGCGCAATCTCGGCTCACTGCAAGCTCCTCCTCCTGGGTTCACGCCATTCTCCTGCCTCAGCCTCCCGAGTAGCTGGGACTACAGGAGCCCGCCACCACGCCTGGCTAATTTTTTGTATTTTTTTTAGTAGATACGGGGTTTCACCGTGGTAGCCAGGATGGTCTCGATCTCCTGATCTTGTGATCTGCCCGCCTCGGCCTCCCAAAGTGCTGGGATTACAGGCGTGAGCCATCGCGCCCGGCCGACATTTTTTTTATAAATACAGTTTAAAGCATTTTAAGAAGAGAAAAAAGTGTCTTCGACATTCAAATGGAAAAAAAAATGGTAAAAATCCCGGCTCTGAGTTCTCATTATTCAAGTTAATTAATAGTTTATATGGAAAGAAGTGAATCATTTTCTCATTTCATATGTGCACTATTGGTTTGCATTTATTCAGAAGCTTTGTAAATATCCAAAAGCTATGGTTCTCTGGCAAGAAAGAGCCAAGGAATAGATACTTGGCATTCACTGGTTGTTATAGTATATTGGCTACTTTATCCTTCAGTGTTATTTAGGTTGTCTTCTTTATTACTAACACCTCAGCTTAGTTCCTTGCTTAATTTAATGCTAAATTCATAGTTTGGCATTTTCCACTGGTTATATTGATTGTGGCAAAGAAGAAAGAATATACTGGGGGATTTTTTTTCCCCCTAGAATTAAACAATCATACCACCAGAGGAATATCTACTTTTACAATATCAATGAAAGATACACAGATAGGTAGAGGGATAGAGATAGGAAGATAGCTAACTAGCTAGATACATAGATACAAATTGATATAATATAGATATGGTAAAAGCCAGGAGATTTTCTAAAGGATAGTTAACTTAGAAAATAAGTGTGTAGTGACTAACTGAAGATAGTTTATCTAGATCTTCTGATGGACATAACCTTGCTCTTTAAAACCAAACTACCTCATTTCTATTATCTTTAATATCAATTTGATCTATATATATGGATAGATAGATAACATATATAATTCTTCCCTATGATCAAAAAACAGTGTAAAATCACAAGATGATTTCCATTTCAAGATTAACTTCAAATTAACAAATAATTAATAGAGATCCACAGTTTCCTCCATACTGTTTCAGATATGAGGAAAAGTGAAGAAATATACTATCCAGTCACTAAAATTTGACAGTAATAATACATTTAACTATCACAATGTAGAGAAAAAGAAATACGTTCTGAGTGGTCAGGGACATCTCCTCCTTTCCTTATCCTTTTAATGGGTGGAGACTACAGGCCACATAGAGACTATGTTTACACAAGAAGTCCAGTTCATTTAGTTTCCATGAAACCTTTCAACAAATATGAGAGATAATTTGTTATGATGATCATGATCATGTTAAATGAGTGAACATAAGTTATGAAAAAAAGTTATTTTCAATGACAATTTGATTAAAAAGTCTAAAAGAGTACAAAGCTCTTCTTGTGGAGACTATTTTTTTCATATTCAGTAAAGTTGCTTTAGTTTTGAGACACTAAAATAATTTGTGTTTAGCTTCAACAATTACTGAAAAACCTGGTTTTAAACTTTTTGAAATAAACTAATTTATAGGGACAGTTTTTTTGTGTTCTGGGTTTCTTTCTCAATTACATTATTTAATCTTCAGAGTTTTCCTAATGTTGTACCCATTTGATATCTTACTGGTATGCTATCAAAGAGAATAGTAAGTGTCTAGGTGGGATATGAGATGTGAGGGTGGAAGTTGAGGTAAGTGGAGAGATAAAATACATCAGAATCTGCAAATCAAGAAAACATGACTTTGAAGGCCTTATTAGGAGACTCCAAAATCATTCACACCCTTCTCTCAAGATAATCAGCATTTCTTGTCTTCTGCACAAAGGAAATAGAGCCAGAAATGTTTACAATTAACATAGAAAGGACAGAAAAAGTTTAGGTAATCAAAAGGCACCTCCTTTTTTTTTTTTTTCCTCCCTTCTGTGTCTGAACTCCATTGACCTAGAGAATGAAGGGGAAAGGAATGTTCCAGGTACAGATAATGTACCCTCCTCTAAAGGCTGCAGAAAAAAGAGAAGAAATAAAAGACCATACTCTGCACACATCTCAATTATCAATGCTGTGGAGAAGAGATTATATTTAAATTGTATATGAGATTAAAGTTTAGAACTAGAATCAACTGAAGTATTTAAAAAAATAAATAAATCATGTGGAAAATTATGATATCTGCCTGCATTATTGATAAGGTAACTGAACTTCATTTCCAGCCTCTTGCTGCTTGGAAAATCAATGCTCAAGAAACAAGTGTTGGCAAGAAGAAAAGTTACCTTTATTAGGGAAGCCAGCAACCTGGGAAGATAGTGAACTCACATGCAAAGGCTACCTCTTCAAATGGTGGCTCCATACCAGAGTTTATCAGGGAAATCAGGGGAAGAGCAAGTGGTGATCAAAGTCTTCTTGTGGCAGGAGCTACATGTGCAATCTCAGGCAGGCAGTGAATCTTCTCTGTCTTGGTCAGAGTCTTGTGACCTTTTGCTGGCGCTAGGCTCTTCTTACCTAGTAGCAGCCTAGACTGCTGGCCAGTCTGCCCCCGAAATTGCTGGTCAGCGTATTTCTCTTAATCTGTGTCAAAGGTCCCGTTTTTCTGAGATTGTTCTGTTCTTAGTGAATAATCTACAGACTTAGGCAAAGCAGTAATTAAAACTCAAATAAGCAAAATTTTTTCTTTAACATGGTGGACGTTCAAAATGGAGTCAGTGTTGTTACAAACTCCCCACTGCCAATGTATCTTTCCATATCTATAGAAAATGGGCAAAGGTCTCATCTTCTGTAACTACTTCTGCTGAACTGGGACATAGTGGGTATTTTAGTTGGAAGGTTTTGACATGGTGTCATACAGAGTTTTTGTTCTTTTCTGTGGTAGGTGAGAAATCAGAGTTAACTTTTCATTAATGGCATTGTTGACCTTTTTGATAAAGCATAACATTACCAATTTAAATCTTAAGAATATATCAGTAGTTATTAGCAGAATTGTTCATTTTAATTTAAAAATTTTCTGTCATGCTGATTTTAGTTCAGCAGATAGTATCATGCTGATATTTTGTTCAGAGAATAGGCTAAAAAACAAATCCCAGCCTCCTCCAAACAAGGAGATATAATGGTTTAGAGTTTGTTGTAATCAGATCACTTGCTCTCTAACTTTTTAAATGTTTGTTTCTACTTGAGAGGAAGTACTGATATATATGCAACAGGAGGAATTAGTAACAACACAAACACCATCTCGTTCTGTTAAAATATAGTCTAGGACTATTCTGTTATTTAGCACTACTTGTATTAATGGATCTACTAAGTTTTGTAAGTTTGCAAGAGACTTAGTGGCTCCAGTAGCAATTACGATTAAAGTCCTGGGTAGATTTATCAGTTCATGATAATATAAAGCCATTCCCCCATGAAGGCAGAAAAGAGTACCCAAAGAAGTACATGGGTTCTGAAGGTATATGGGTATATGGTCAGAAAGAAAGTCTTTCAAGTCTTGAGAGAGCTTGTCCAATGTCTTTATTGTGTTTTTTTATTTTTTTAGGAGCGTGAAGGGTGAAAGGAGTTATTAACATGTCTATTAGGCATTATCCTGAATGTGTGTCATTTTACAAGCAATGATATGCCCATGGTACTCAATCAGGAAGTTATATTAATATATATCTTCCAGGGGGCAAAACATATACTCATTTGTTTTACTAATCTAAATGGCTGTATTGTTTTCCCCAAGTATTTCCAGGGAAATCTATTAAATCATCTGTTATGGATATGATTACAGGTTCTTGGTTTTAGAGGGGGAGGGTCTTCCCTGGTGTTGGAGTCAATGTGTAGCTTGTTTAATTGGCATTAGTTTTTACCCACCTGGAAAGGCATGAGGGATTGTGTCTTTTCAGAGGTGAAATGAGTGATTCTGACAATATATGTAACTCTTGGTTTTTTATGGTATACGCGACATACTAAATGGTCCCACATGTCATATACTGAGTAGTGGTTGGAATGGCAAATCTAACAATCAGTTTTTTATGTATTATTGGCAAAGATTAAGATAGTTTAACTTAAGCAATATGTAACCGCCATGTTAGATGGTAGCAGCACCACCTTTAGCATTCAGTATTTTATTAGGATATTTAATATTTTTGTTATTAGAGGTTAGCAAATCTCTTTTTTTCTATATTGCCCCATGTGCTTGTATTACCATGAAGGCATATCTAGAGTCTGTGCAGCTCTCCTCTTTCCTTTGGGATAAAGTTAAGGCTCTGGTAAGGGTTATTCATTCTACTTTTTGGGGGGATGTACCAGGGGGAAGTGCAGGGGCTTTGATTATTTGTTCCAGAGTGGTCAGTGTATACCCTGCTCAATGGTGTCTATTTTTCATGAAACTGCTGTCATCGGTGAACAATTTCTAGTCTGGAGTTGTTATCAGCTGATCACACAAGTCTAGGTGGCTGGAATAAACGACTTGATTTATTTATAAACTGTTATGCTTAGGCTCTGTGTCTTGCACTGAACTGCCAAGGAGCAGTGTTGTGGGGATTAGGGTTGCAGTGGTTTGGAGGGTGGTATTAGGATTATCCAGAAAAATGGCCTGACATTTGCCCATACGCCCAGCAGTTATCTCCTTTTTTTAAATAGGGTTAACACTTGATGGGGAACATACACAGTTATGGGTTGTCGTAGAGTACATTTGTTGGTTTCTTGTAATAAGTCACATGTGGCAGCTACTGCCCTCTGGCAGGGAGGCCATCCTTTGGCTGTTTATTCTGTTTCAAAAAATATACAATAGGTTACAGTTTTTCCCCAAGTTTCTGGGTCAGAATTCCTAGTTCAATTCTCTTTTTTAATGTACTTACAGGGGAAAGGGCTTTGGGGGTCAGGGAGCCCCAAGGCAAACACTAATGTTAATTTTTTATTTATATTATAAAATGTATTTTGGCATTTCATTGTCTAATGCAAGGGTTCTGACCCAGTCATTTTAAAGCATCATACAAGGGTTTTGCTGTGAGTCCAAAGTTAGAAATCTAAATGTCAAAAAAAGTGAACCATCCCCAAGAATTCTCTTACTTGTTTCTGTTTTGGGGAGGGCTTTAATGGCAGCTACTGCCTGTTTCTTATCAGTCATAAGACTGCTTACCTTGTTGTAGGTGGAACCCCAAGTTGACGATGTCTTTTTTGCATATTTGGACCTTACGTGGGGCCACTTTATAACCCCATTCAGCCAGGTTATTTAAATCCAGTAATGTGTTTTCCAGGAAGTCTTTATAAGTGGGGCTGGCAATTAGTAAGCCATATACACACTGTAATACTACCCTTCGGTTTAACTGTAGGTCACTCAGATTTTTAGCCGAAATTTCCCCGAAAATGGTGGGGGCATTTTTAAATCCTTGGAGTAATATAGCATAGTAATATTGGAAAATTGTCTTAGCTTTTGGATCATGCCATTTAAAGGCAAACAGGAATTGGGGTTTTCTTTAACTGGTATGCAGAAGACAGTATCTTTGAAGTCTCATACTGAGAACCAGCCATAATCTCCTGGGATAATAGTGACTTGGGTGTATGGGTTATGTACTGTTGGATGGATATCTTGAATGATATCATTAATTGTTCTTGAGCATTGCACAAATTGATATTCATTTGAATGTCGTTATTTTACTGGGAAAATAGGAGTATTGGATAGAGAGAGACATGGTTGAATAAGCTCATACTTCGAAAGTAATACCTTTGTAATACTGGCAGAGTGCCTTCTAATGCTTCCCTTTTCAGAGGATGCTGCTTTCTTGTTTGTTTGTTTGTTTTTATGTGGGATTGTATCTCCTTCTTTTAATGTAATGCAGACCATCTGAACTCTAGTAGCTCATCTGGATTCTCCATCGGCCCAAACAGTATTGCTTATTCCATAGTAGACTTCAGGTGGAAACAATTCTTGGGTCTTGTTTTTAGGCTGAGTCATCAATGTCTGCAAACACAAGGCCTTTTTGGGTGGGATCTGGGTCCTTAGATGTTGTTTTTTAGGAGAAAATTTTACTTAAGCATTTAGTTTAGCATAGTAATTGTCATTCCAACGACAGAACAGGGCAATTAGGCATATTTTAAAAAAACTAGGTCTTAACTTTATGTCTCCCAATTTGGATTCTAAAGGCTGAGGGAAAGGTATTTGCTCCAGTTTTCTGTTGACTCCTGCCACTGGCACTATATCTTGTGTACTTTTAGTTAATTTATTATTTAAACTGAAGTTGCTTCAGTATTAACTAAGAAGTCGATTATTTTATACTTCAATGTCATTCGTACCCAGGGCTTCTGTGGGGAAATGATCATTGGCTCCATTATATCAAGGAAAACACCTGAGCCTCCTCAGTCTTATCAGAGCCACAATCTACTTGTCTGTTTCTTTGCTTCCTATTTTTTTTTTCTTTTTCTCTCTTATCCTTTTTCTACTGTCATCTTTCCCTTTTAGCCTGTAGCAATCATTCTTTTAATGCCCAGATCCCCAGCAGTAGGCACATTGATCTTTGCCTGGGAGTCCTATTCTGTTTTGTCCCTTACTCTTCTCAGGCCCTCTTTTATTTTTCTGAATGCTTTCTACAAGAGTGGGCACTTGTCTGGCTCTTGTTTTTCTGGCATTGAAAAGTTTGTAAGCAATTTCTACCAATAGAGAAGGGTTTATTCTTTCTGATTTTTTCAATTTCCTTTTGATACCTGAAGTGCTTTGGCTGATGAAAGTCAGATTGACTGTCCAAATATTTTCTGGGGCCTCTAGATCCATACCTGAGTATTTTTTTATAAGCCCGATATATTCGTTCCAGCCAAGAGGCTGAATTTTCATTAGCCTCCTGTTGGAGATCATGGATTTTGCTGATGCTACGCTTCTCGGGTACTCCTTTACTCAGTCCCATCAAAACATGTTTTTAGTAGTATTCTAGTCTTGGCATTCCCCATTGTTATGGTCGCAATTGAGCTCCATTAAGAGAGTCGTCCCTGTGGGGGATCAGGGGTCCTAGAAGGGTCTTTCTGAAGTAGCTGCCTGACCTCATCATTGGCTTTGTCTAGGACTTGTCTCCTTTTACCAGCCATTATCATGAAATTTAATGGTGTTTGAATGTCCACCTAAGTGAGGAAATATGTGGAGAATATACTGGTACATAATTCAGCCATGTGCTATGGGTCATCTCTGTAGGAAGGGCTTATATTATTTTTAGTTTACTAAGTCTAAAGTGGAGAAAGGTGAATGTAATCCCCAAAATCCCATGGGTTGGCCATGTGCATTTAACTCCTGTTGGATCTTAAAAGGGGAGACCCATTGGCCTTGTGCATTTAAGACCCAGTCAGGTCTTAAAAGAGGAGACTGTCTCCAGCCTGCTTGCATAATGTCGAGGGGACACTGCTTCTTGTAAATATGGATTATTTAAATAGTCTTCTGGGGGAGTGGGTAGAGGAAGGAGCAGTTCAGTGTACAACGCTGGCAGGGTCAGCGTGGGAACCTGCACAGGTGCCAGAGCAGGCAGCACCAGGGAAGGCACTTGCAACACCACAGCATCATTTCCCTGTGGCGAGTTTAAGGCTAACAAAATTATCCTATCCTCCTGCTTCTGTTGGGATGATCAGACCCAACACCAGGTCATGGGGGCAACAAAGTCCGACAGAGCCAAAGGATTGAGAAAAAGACAGTTTCAGAAGTAAAGTGGGACCAGGGGGCCATCGCTAGTGTATGGAAGCTGCTAAGGCCCCAAGCTCTGGGAGCCCACACTATTTATTGGTAATTCAACATAGAAACAGGTGGTGAGAATGTGGGGCGTCAAAAGGGCAGGCACATGATCTACAGCTGTGACGGTTTAGCATTTATATGGAACATGTTCTTCTACTCGAGATAATGGGAATACAATCGATCTGGGAGCCTAGGAAGGCTAGAAGCAAGGAGCCGGCAAGTCTAGACACATTCCAGAGGACATTATGTCAGACACGCAAGCCTTGCCTCAGTTTTTTTCTCAACACTTGGCTTTTTCCCAACATACTTCTTTTTCCCTTCTGTATCTTCCTCAGGCAGTAGAGGCCAATGAGATTTCACTTTATGCAGTCCTCTTTGCACCACTAACTGGGAACCTTTCTGGGAAGCATCTTTATTACATGATAGAATAAACACGTGAGCATAAGTATTTTTTTCCATTTACCTGATCTTTGATAAAACTGTTCAAGCTGTAAGACTGTATAAAAGTTCAAAAACCCTAAAGGCCACCTCTCTTCTAACACATGCATCTGCCATGTTGTATTACAACAAAATGCCATTTTTTTTGTTGTTGTTTTTTCCTTTGTCCCAAGGTCATAGCTATAGGCTGACCAGTTAGCTAATATGCTTTTTCTTTGAGACAGAATCTACAAAATACCTCCCATGGTAACAAGAAAACAACACACAATCAAAACAAATGAAGTGCTTCCCAAACACCATCTTCTTCAAGGGAGGAGACCAGCACGGAGTCACTACAAGTTGTTTCTTCTACCAACGGTACCACAAATGGCCCCAAAGGCCCAAATGGTAAGGAAAGAGGACCCCTGGTGTTCACACTGGTGGATGTAGCTTGTTATAGAGCTGGTCAGCTCATCTAGAGAGCTTGTTACCATTTACCAGCTCGAAGTGAAAATAGGCAGCTGGCGTCAATTGAGGGAAAGAAGGGCGTTTCCCCAAAGTGTAAAAGAGTCTTGGCAGTTTGCCTGTGTCAGGCGTGGCCAACCACAAGTAGCTGGTGTTACTGAAGGCTTGCTGCTAACCTCTGGTAGCAAGAGAGGGTTAGCCCATACGTGCTGCCACAGTCAACTGCTCCACCCATTGGGAATCTAAATGAGCCTCTCGGTAACCTGAACAAGGTAGCCCTGGTGCACTGCTGCGGCCAATTGCTTCATCTGTTGGGAGCTGAGCAAACAGCTCAGGGAGCATGAGACTCCGGACTAGCTCACCAAATATTGTAACCAAACTCAGGTTCGGGACACTTGACACCTGAACAACCAATGCTCAAGAGACAAGTGTTGGTAAGAAGGAAAGTTAGCTTTATTAGGGAAGCAGGCAAGTTGGGAAATTAGTGACCTTGTTTCAAGACTACCTCTCTGAATTGTAGCTCTGGACCAAGAGTTTTTACGGGAAATCAGGATAAGTGTAAGTCATAATCAGAGTGTCCTTGTGGAGGAGCTACGTGTGCAATCTCAGGCAGGCAGTCAGTCCTTGCTGTCTTGGTCTATGTCTTGGGACCTTTGCTGGCATTGTTAGGCTGTTTTTATCTAGTTGTGGCTAAAACTGCTGGTCAGTCTGTTGCCGGAATTTCTGGTCAGCATATTTCCCTTTTATTTATGTTGAAGGTCCTATTGTTCTGAGATTGTTATATTCTTAATGAGTAATCTACAAACTTAAGCAAAGAAGTAATTAAAACTCAAGCAAATTTTTTCCTGTAACATGGCAGGGATTCAAAATGGAGTCAGTGCTGTTACAATAAGATCTTCTACTCAATAAAGAAGCAAAAGTACTCACAGCAGAGTGGGGTAAGTGAAGAAAAATAAAATTATTTCTTATTTTTGTTTTTTGTATGTATCCCTAAAGTTCAAACTGTTCAGAAATTGTTATAAAGTTAACTCAAAAGAAATTCAGTAAATGATTTTGTGTTCTATTGCTTCAATTATTTGAATTGATTGCATACTTTTCATGAACCAGGTTTTAAAAATTTTCTGTTTCTTTATAAATCACATGGAAAGTGCACACTCAGACTGTTTAGTACAAAGAGCATTCAATTAGAAGTCCGAAAACAAGTGGGTGAACTCTAATGCAGTGTTTAAGACGATGTCTGGTCTTTGATATCATTAAACTTCCCTCAGTCTAAGTTTCTATATCTTAAAAAATAAAGATATTTAGTGTAGTAAATTTTCATTGCTAACAATTCAAAATTATTTATTTACCTAACATATCTAATAATGCTGAATAAATAACACTAAGCAATTATAAAACTAAAAATCGATTTTAAATATGTGGTTTCATTAATTTTATATATTTATGATTAAAAATTACTGTTTATGAGTATTGAAATTAAAGTTAATCATCGAATATTTTGGTAAGATAATGTTTGAGTATTACTTTATAGTTATTGAAAGAAAACATATAAATGTAGACTTTAATTCCCATAAAAGGAAAATATAACCACATGAACATAATTGAGAAATTAATAGAATATATTTTAATGTAGTAAAACAGTGTAAGTCACATCAATGAACAGTATGAGATTACTTCAAAATAGGTTGTAAAGAATAGACATAAGAATTTACATACAAAATAGAATGGATTAATCACAGAAGGCATATGAAGGTTTTCCTTGAGAGAGGCCACAGTTTGGCATTGACAAAGATGAGTGAAATAAAGCACTACGAGTAGAAAAGCATGGAAGCTTGTAAGCCAGGTGTATGTTATGAGTATTTTTAATTAGTTTATTTATTTATTTATTTACAGTTTAAGTTTAGTAACATGGGCAGTTCTGGTTCTACCTATGCTGGAAAAATGAACATCAGAATTTCCCCTACTACCATAAACAATGATAAAACTAAACCCGTCATGGAAAACAACTGTTTTCA
The DNA here is from genome assembly GCF_000001405.40 of Homo sapiens. Lineage (NCBI taxonomy): Eukaryota > Metazoa > Chordata > Mammalia > Primates > Hominidae > Homo > Homo sapiens. The sequence continues at coordinate 87,358,341 of NC_000013.11, forward strand.
GGTCTTGGACAACAAATATTGCAAGTCTTTGATTCATTTGATAAGGGAAATATATAATGGGAGCTCCACATGCCTGGGCTTTCTGCCTTAGAACCAATTTCATACAACAGCACAGAGGGGTGAAATCCTAACAGATTGGCAATTCCACTGGCATAAAAAGCATGTGGCAGAGATTAGTACTGTGGAGATTGCTCAAATATGCAAATCAGGATTCTGAAGAGAGCAAAAAGGGAGCACACTAGAATCTGCATAGAAGTCTCTCCAAGCATTTGTCCAAGTACATAGCTGTATATGTACAAAACAAAATAAAATGTGATCTCTGGAAGAATCAGCTACTGAAGAACTGTGAGTTAAATGGACATTCAGAAGTTCACATAATTCTAGGAGACACAGAAGTTACAACCATTCAGTGTTTAGAAATTTCACAAAAAGCTCACTGAAGCAGTTGAGACGACAAATAGGCCAAACATCTGAAGTGACCTAATCTTGCTCCAGAATAAGAACAATTCTAACATGCTCTAAGAATCACAAAACAAAACTCCTAAAACATCATTTTGAGCAGTCAGTAAATTAATTGCTTTATGAATTTAAAAAAGAATACTTTCCTTAGAAGGACAACATAATTTAAAGTCTCATCAATGTAAAATTTATGATGTCAGCATAAAACTTAAATATATATATATACACACACACACACACACAAAGCGGCAGAAGAGTCTGAAGCATAAATAGAAGAAAAACCCCATAGAAATATATCTAAATGTTGGATTTGGCTGACAATATCTTAGAAGAGCTATTGTAAATATATTCAGTGATTTGAAGTAACAGATGAACATTATATTGAAATAGATGAAAAACGTCGAGGAGAAAGTTGGAAGTATAAAAAAATGAAAATTATAGAACTTGAAAATTCCCAGTATTTTTTAGAAAATTATCAGATAGGCATAAAAAGTAGATGGGATACTTTAGAAGAAAACATCTGTAAACTAGAAGATGGGTCAATAGAAAATGTTAAAACTGAAGCACAGATGGGGAAAAAGAAAAATGAATAAGACCTCATGTTCAGTAGTCCAACAAAAAATATTTCATACATATATGTAAAAGTCATCCCAGAAAGAAAAAAGAGGGGAAAGGGGTTGTGCATTGTTTCAACAGACTTGGATAAAGCTAAGAATTAAATAGTTACTACCATTTTTATTATCATTTATCCTGAGTCAGCAGCCACTGAATATATGGCTTGAATATTGTATTAGTATGTGTGAAAGATGTTTCACATTATGTTTTGAAAGTATTGCATTTCTGTATGTTTGTCTTATGCAAGTTTTGTACTACAGTTAGGATAATATTTGTATGAAAATATAGAGAAGATATGTAGTGTTTTATTACCTACTTGTTAAATATTACAAGTGACAAGAAAATAACACACATAAGTTATTCTATATAATCTATAAATATTACAAGAGACAAGAGTGACAAGAAGCATAAGTTATTCTATATAATCTATATTCTCTATTTTTATAATATTTATATATTATATACCTAGATTTCTATATATAGATGTCTATACTTATATACATATATCTATAAATCTATCTTGCTGTATATCTATATAATTTATAAGCACATATAATCTACTCTGATTATATTTTAGGATTTTGTATACAATTTAAAGTATTTTTAGGGTCATTTTTAATTATGAACATTTTAACAATTTGATTCAGCAATTCCACATCTAAATATTTACCCAAAATAATTGAAATCAAGGTTTTGAAGAAGTATTAGTATTCCTATACATATTGCAGTACTATTTATAATGGCCAAGATATGGAAACAAACTAAATGTCCACTGGTAGATGAGTAGATAAAAATAGTGTGATATATGCATATAAGAGAGTATGACTCAGCCTTAAAACAGAAGAAAATTCTGCAGTATGTGACAATGTGAATGAACTTTATAAGCATTACTCCAAGGGAATAGGCCAGACACAGAAAGAATCATAATGCCTAATTGCCCTTATATGAGGTATTTAAAATAGCCAAATTTATATAATCAAAGATTGGAATGGTGATTGCCAGGGGCTGGGAGAAAAGGTAAATGAGGAGTTAATAATCAATGGGCATAAAGTTTCAGTAAAGCAAGATGAATAAGCTCTAGAGGTCTATAAAATGTTGTACCTATAGTCAACAATAATGCATTATACAGTTAAAAATCTGTTAACAGGACACATTTCATGTTAAATGTTCTTACCACAATAACATAACATTTTTAACACAGAAGTATTTTTAAGCCAAAATTGTATCATCATGATTGGTAATTTCTTGGTAGTTTGTACTGTAGTTTTGCATACCTCTAGTCATAGTTCATTCCTTTTTTTTTTTTAATGTATTCTGCTTGCTCGTGTTGGAATACAGGCTCTACCACGTACTACTAACATGACCTTGGCTAAATTATTTAATTTCTCTAAGCCTCAATTCCCTTTTATATGAAATTGGAATAATAATATGTAATTTATAGGATTATATGGAGGATTACATAAGAAAATTAATGTAAAACTGCTTAGCCTAATGTCCAGTATAAAATATTATATATATAAAACTTCATTAACTAAATTCTAAAGTATTTTCACAAAATTCTAACTTTAAAAATACATTAAAAGTCATTTATTCATAATCATTAGCATTAATTTAGATGTTTGTTAATCATCTCTTCTTAAATACCTTGGGGATATTGTATGAACATTTGAAAATCCTCAGCTTTTGGTTAAAAACTAAATGCTTGTCCCACCACCACCACCACCACCACCACCACCACACACACACACACACACACACACACACTCTCTCACATACACACAATGTGACATGTCACATTCACATGGCAACATGAATGAACTTTAAGAACATTACTCTAAGGAAATAAGCCAGACACAAAAAGAATATTAATGCATAATTGCCCTTATATGAGGTATCTAAAATAGCCACATTTAAAGGATCAAAGATTGGAATGGTGATTGCCAGTTACTGGGAGAAAAGAGAAATGAGGAGTTACTAATCAATGGGCATAAAGGTTCAGTACACACAACCATTCGATCTTTACCCTCAAGCCTTCTGTTGCATCTGTGTTTTACAAAATCCACAGTATTACAGTCAGGAGATTATTTTTCTGTGATCTCTCTTGATACTACAACAATTATTTATTGACATTCCTGATTGACTTGCTATTATATATATATATATCTCTATATATACACACACAATTGTGTATATATATACACAATTGTATATATATACACACATATATATACATATGTATTATATATAAATATATTTTATATATACATATATTATGTATACACATATTTTATATATACATATATATTATATATACATATATTTTATATATACATATATTGTGTGTGTATATATACGTGTGTGTGTGTATATATATATATATATACACACACACACAATTAATATAGTATGACTGAAAAATATCGTTTCCTGGAGATCCTAGAATTGTCAAGCCTGATAGTCAACAAGGTTACCTAGGCTTTTCCCTGAAACCAGTGATAATGTCGAAAGTTTTCTCTTTCTCTCAATTTGTATCCATCTAATAACGTTTTCTTAATGAGGTTATTGAACATAGACATTTATAGATAACTTCAGAGTAAATGTGAGGAAACATTTATAAGGGAGAGCCTTTATAAGATTTGAGTGTTGGCATCCTCTCGGCTTTGTTTACTGCTATTTCCTTGGTAATATACAGAATACTTTTAATCTAAGAAAGATGAATAAATATTAACTACGAAAAAGAATTTGCAGAATTGTTGATTGTACGGCTACCTGCTCCTGACTTTCTTTTTCCTTCAACTTATCCTCTTTCATGGTTGAAACACAGATGGCCTTAGATATTTATACATAAAGGGATACTGCATGTCTTTTAGCTTCATAAATCTAATTCCTCCATTGAGTGGGAAGATCAAGTTCATTAGTGTTTAATTCTATTAATGAATTTATGTTTTTAAGTTTTATGCTCTGCCAACATATAGGTAACTTATATTTATTAAATCAAGCAGAGATTGGCATGAGTTGTGTAAAATTACTAAAATGGGTACTGTAGAATCACAAAGAAGGGTGTAAGCCATGATGATTGGGCAGGTATCATGGTGAGATTTTAGTATGTTATGCTTCAAATTTCCCCCCACCAAATTATATCATGCAATAGCTTTTTCCATGTTTAATCCCTTTAACACCCCCTACCACCACCTTTAACAATCAAACAAACCCTGAAACTGAGTTGAATATTTATCTGATTATTTCAGCTAAACATCCAACTCTGAGTTTTTATGGTCTCATCACAGATAAAGCATGTTCAATAGTTTACTCATATTTCATTTTTTTAATTATACTTTAAGTTCTAGGGTACAAGTGCACAATGTGCAGTTTGTTACATATTTATACATGTGCCATGTTGGTGTGCTGTACCCATTAACTCCTTGTTTACATTAGGTATAACTCCTAATGCTATCCCTCCTCCCTACCCCAACCCCACAACAGGCCCCGGTGTGTGATGTTCCCCTTCCTGTATCCATGTGTTCTCATTGTTCAATTCCCACCTATAAGTGAGAACATGTGGTGTTTGGTTTTTTGTCCTTGTGATAGTTTGCTGAGAATGATGGTTTCCAGCTTCATCCATGTCCCTACAAAGGACATGAACTCATTATTTTTCATGGCTGCTTAGTATTCCATGGTGTATATGTGCCACATTTTCTTAATCCAGTTTATCATTGTTGGACATTTGGGTTGGTTCCAAGTCTTTGCTATTGTGAATAGTGCCACAATAAATGCAATAAACATACATGTGCATGTGTCTTTATAGCAGCATGTTTTATAATCCTTTGGGTATATGCCCAGTAATGGGATGGCTGGGTCAAATGTTTTTTCTAGTTCTAGATCCTTGAGGAATCGCCGCACTGTCTTCCACAATGGTTGAACTAGTATACAGTCCCACCAACAGTGTAAAAGCATTCCTACTTTTCCACATCCTCTCCAGCACCTGTTGTTCCTGACTTTTTAATGATCGCCATTCTAACTGGTGTGAGATGGTATCTCATTGTGGTTTTGATTTGCATTTCTCTGATGGCCAGTGATGATGAGCATTTTTTCATGCGTCTGTTGGCTGCATAAATGTCTTCTTTTGAGAAGTGTCTGTTCATAACCTTTGCCCACTTTTTGATGGGGTTGATTCTTTCTTGTAAATTTGCTTAAGTTCTTCGTAGATTCTGGATATTAGCCCTTTGTCAGATGGGTAGATTGCAAAAATTTTCTCCCATTCTGTAGGTTGCCTCTTCACTCTGATGGTAGTTTCTTTTGCTGTGCGGAAGCTCTTTAGTTTAATTACATCTCATTTCTCTGTTTTGGTTTTTATTGCCATTGCTTTTGGTGTTTTAGTCATGAAGTCCTTGCCCATGCCTATATCCTGAATGGTATTGCCTAGGTTTTCTTCTAGGGTTTTTATGGTTTTAGGTCTAACATTGAAGTATTTAATCCATCTTGAATTAATTTTTGTGTAAGTTGTAAGGAAGTGATCCAGTTTCAGCTTTCTACATATGGCTAGCCAGTTTTCCCAGCACCATTCATTAAATAGGGAGTCTTTTCCCCATTTCTTGTTTTTGTCAGGTTTGTCAAAGATCAGATAGTTGTAGATGTGTAGTATTACTTCCGGGGGGCTCTATTCTGTTCCATTGGTCTATGTCTCTGTTTTGATACTAGTACCATGTTGTTTTGGTTACTGTAGCCTTGTAGTATAGTTTGAATCAGGTAGCGTGATGCCTCCAGCTTTGTTCTTTTGGCTTAGGATTGACTTGGCAATGCGGGCTCTTTTTTGGTTCCGTATGAAATTTAAAGTAGTTTTTTCCAATTCTGTGAAGAAAGTCATCAGTAGCTTGATGGGGATGGCATTGAATCTTTAAATTACCTTGGGCAGTATGGCCATTTTGACAATATTGATTCTTCCTATCCATGAGCATGAATGTTCTTCCATTTGTTTGTGTCCTCTTTAATTTCGTTAAGCAGTGGTTTGTAGTTCTCCTTGAAGAGGTCCTTCACATCCCTTGTAAGTTGGATTCCTAGGTATTTTATTCTCTTTGAAGCAATTGTGAATGGGAGTTCACTCATTATTTGGCTGTCTGTTTGTCTGTTATCGGTGTAGAGGAATGCTTGTGATTTTTGCACATTGATTTTGTATCCTGAGACTTTGCTGAAGTTGCTTATCAGCTTAAGGAGATTTTGGGCTGAGACGATGGGTTTTTCTAAATATACAATCATGCCATCTGCAAACAGGGACAATTTGACTTCCTCTTTTCCTAATTGAATGCCCTTTATTTCTTTCTCTTTCCTGATTGCCCTGGCCAGAACTTCCAATACTGTGTTGAATAGGAGTGGTGAGAGAGGGCATCCCTGTCTTGTGCCAGTTTTCAAAAGGAATGCTTCCAGTTTTTGCCCATTCAGTATGATATTGGCTGTGGGTTTGTCATAAATAGCTCTTATTATTTTGAGATGCATCCCATCAATACCTAGTTTATTGAGAGTTTTTAGCATGAAGGGCTGTTGAATTTTGTTGACAGCCTTTTCTGCATCTATTGAGATAATCATGTGGTTTTTGTCTTTGGTTCTGTTTATATGCTGGATTACATTTATTGATTTGTGTATGTTGAACCAGCCTTGCATCCCAGGGATGAAGCCAACTTGATCGTGGTGGGTAAGCTTTTAGATGTGCTGCTGGATTTGGTTTGCCAGTATCTTATTAATGATTTTGGCATCGATGTTCATCAGGCATATTGGTCTAAAATTCTCTCTTTTTGTTGTGTCTCTGCCAGGCTTTGGTATCAGGATGATGTTGGCCTCATAAAATGAATTAGGGAGGATTCCCTCTTTTTCTATTGATTGGAATAGTTTCAGAAGGAATGGTACCAGCTCCTCCTTGTACCTCTGGTAGAATTCAGCTGTGAATCTGTCTGCTCCTGGATTTTTTGGTTGGTAGGCTATTAATTATTGCCTCAATTTCAGAGCCTGTTATTTGTCTATTCAGAGATTCAACTTCTTCCTGGTTTAGTCTTGGGAGAGTGTATGTGTCCAGGAATTTATCAATTTATTCTAGATTTTCTAGTTTATTTGCGTAGAGGTGTTTATAGTAGTCTCTGATGGTAGTTTGTATTTCTGTGGGTTTGGTGGTGATATCCCCTTTATCTTTTTTTTATTGCGTCTACTTGATTCTTCTCTCTTTTCTTCTTTATTAGTCTTGCTAGTGGTCTATCAATTTTGTTGATCTTTTCAAAAAACCTGCTCCTGGATTCATTGCTTTTTTGAAGGGTTTTTTGTGTCTCTATCTCCTTCAGTTCTGCTCTGATCTTAGTTATTTCTTGCCTTCTGCTAGCTTTTGAATGTGTTTGCTCTTGCTTCTCTAGTTCTTTTAATTGTGATGTTAGGGTGTCAATTTTAGATCTTTCCTGCTGTCTCTTGTGGGCATTTATTGCTATAAATTTCCCTCTACACACTGCTTTAAATGTGTTTCAGAGATTCTGGTATGTTGTGTTTTTGTTCTCATTGGTTTCAAAGAACATATTTATTTCTGCCTTCATTTCGTTATGTGCCCAGTAGTCATTCAGGAGTATGTTGTTCAGTTTCCATGTAATTGAGCGGTTTTAAGTGAGTTTCTTAATCCTGAGTTCTAGTTTGATTGCACTGTGGTCTGAGAGACAGTTTGTTAAAATTTCTGTTCTTTTACATTTGCTGAGGAGGGCTTTACTTCCAACTATGTGGTCAATTTTGGAATAAGTGTGATGTGGTGCTGAGAAGAATGTATATTCTGTTGATTTGGGGTGGAGAGTTCTGTAGATATCTATTAGGTCTGCTTGGTGCAGAGCTGAGTTCAATTCCTGGATATCCTTGTTTACTTTCTGTCTCGTGTGTCTGTCTAATGTGACAGTGGGGTGTTAAAATCTCCCATTATTAATGTGTGAGAGTCTAAGTCTCTTTGTAGGTCTCTGAGGACTTGCTTTATGAATCTGGGTGCTTCTGTATTGGGTGCATATATATTTCGGTAGTTAGCTCTTCTTGTTAAATTGATCCCTTTACCATTATGTAATGGCCTTCTTTGTGTGTTTTGATCTTTGTTGGTTTAAAGTCTGTTTTATCAGAGACTAGAATTGCAACCCCTGCTTTTTTGTTGTTGCTTTTCATTTGCTTGGTAGATCTTCCTCTATCCCTTTATTTTGAGCCTATGTGTATCTCTGCATGTGAGATGGGTCTCCTGAATATGGCACATTGATTGGTCTTGACTCTTTATCCAATTTGCCAATCTGTGTCTTTTAATTGGAGCATTTAGCCCATTTACATTTAAGTTTAATATGGCTATGTGTGAATTTGATCCTGTCATTATGATGTTAGCTGGTTATTTTGCTCATTAGTTGCAGTTTCTTCCTAGCATTGATGGTCTTTACAATTTGGCATGTTTTCACAGTGGCTGGTACCAGTTGTTCCTTTCCATGTTTAGTGCTTCCTTCAGGAGCTCTTGTAAGGCAGGCCCAGTGGTGACAAAATCTCTCAGCATTTGTTTGTCTGTAAAGAATTTTATTTCTCCTTCACTTATGAAGCTTAGTTTGGCTGGTTATGAAATTCTGGGTTGAAAATTCTTTTCTTTAAGAATGTTGAATATTGGCCCCCACTCTTTTCTGGCTTGTAGAGTTTCTGCCGAGAGATCTGCTGTTAGTCTGAATTGCTTCCCTTCATTGGTGACCCGACCTTTCTCTCTGGCTGCCCTTAACATTTTTTCCTTCATTTCAACTTTGGTGAATCTGATAATTATTTGTCTTGGAGTTGCTCTTCTCGAGGAGTATCTTTGTGGCGTTCTCTGTATTTCCTGAATTTGAATGTTGGCCTGCCTCGCTAGGTTGGCGAAGTTCTCCTGGAAATCCTGAAGAGTGTTTTCCAACTTGGTTCCATTATCTCCGTCACTTTCAAGTACACCAGTCAGACGTAGATTTGGTCTTTTCACATAGTCCCGTATTTCTTGGAGGCTTTATTTGTTTCTTTTTACTCTTTTTTCTCTAAACTTCTCTTCTCGCTTCATTTCATTCATTTGATCTTCAATCACTGATACCCTTTCTTCTACTTGATCAAATTGGCTGCTGAAGCTCGTGCATGCATCATGTAGTTCTTGTGCCGTGGTTTTCAGCTCCATCAGGTCATTTAAGGACTTCTCTACACTGTTTATTCTAGTTAGCCATTCATCTTATCTTTTTTCAAGGTTTTTAGCTTTGCGATGGGTTCAAACATCCTCCTTTAGCTTGGAGAAGTTTGTTATTACCAATCGTCTGAAGCCGTCTTCTCTCAACTCATCAATGTCATTCTCCATCCAGCTTTATTCCGTTGCTGGTGAGGAGCTGCATTCTTTTGGAGGAGAAGAGGTGCTGTGATTTTTAGAATTTTCAGCTTTTCTGCCTGGGTTTCTCCCCATCTTTGTGGTTTTATCTACCTTTGGTCTTTGATGGTGACGTACAGATGGGATTTTAGTGTAGATGTCCTTTCTGTTTGTTAGTTTTCCTTCTTACAGTCAGCACCCTCAGCTACAGGTCTGTTGGAGTTTGCTGGAGGTACACTGCAGACCCTGTTTGCCTGGATATCACCAGCAGAGGCTGCAGAACAGCAAATATTGCAGAATGACAAATGTTGCTGTCTGATCCTTCTTCTGGAAGCTTTGTCTCATAGGGGCACCCAGCTGTATGAGGTGTCAGTTGGCCCTTACTGGGAGGTGTCTCCCAGTTAGGCTACTTGGGGGTCAGGGACCCACTTGAGGAGGCAGTCTGTCCGTTCTCAGATCTCAAACTCCATGCTGGGAGAAGCACTACTCTCTTCAAAGCTGTCAGACAGGGATGTTTAAGTCTGCAGAAGTTTCTGCTGCCTTTTGTTCAGCTATGCCCTGCCTCCAGAGGTGGAGTCTACAGAGGCAGGCAGGCCTCCTTGAGCTGCGGTGGGCTCCACCCAGTTTGAGCTTCCTGGCCACTTTGTTTACCTACTCAAGCTTCAGAAATGGTGGATGACCCTCCCCCAGCCTCGCTGTCACCTTGCAGTTGGATCTCAGACTGCTGTGCTAGCAGTGAGTGAGCCTCCATGGCTGTGGGACCCTCTGAGACAAGCACAGGATATAATCTCCTGGTGTGCCATTTGCTAAGGCTGTTGGAAAAGCACAGTATTAGTGTGGGAGTCTCCTGATTTTCCAGGTACCGTCTGTCATGGCTTCCCTTTGCTAGGAAAGGGAATTCCTGGATCCCTTGTGCTTTCTGGGTGAGGCCATGCCCCACCCTGCTCCTTGGGCTGCACCCACTGTCTGACAAGCCCCAGTGAGATAAACCCAGTACCTCAGTTGGAAATGCAGAAATCACTTGTCTTCTGCGTTGCTCATGCTGGGAGCTACAGAGCTACAGACAGGAGCTCTTTCTATTCGGCAATCTTGGAACCTCTCCAGTATTTCATTTTGTGTAGAAATACTGATAGGTATACTGCATAGCTACCTTTTTTATTCCACATTATTGTTTACATTGTTTACCTCTATTCTGTAAAAATTCTTTAAGAGGAATATATTTAAGTAAGATTTTTAAATTCCTCTTTTAACAGTAGAACAAAAATCTTTGCTTTATCTCTAACAGCAGTTATTTTTCACTTGCTTTAACGTTTTATTCAACATTTTGAAGGTAGCTGAGCCCTTAGAATTAAATATTTTTACTTGTTTTCTCCCATGTTTTGTAAATAATCCACCATGAAATTTGAGTAACAATTTTTAACTAAACATATTTGACTTCTTTTCCTTACTTAATGCTAATGTCTACTTAGCAAAATGTCTACATACCAGCGTATCAGAGTATAGATTGAATCCACACTATGGTTTTACCTATAATAGCCTCTGGATTTGTTCTTAAAATATACTTATTATTAGCTGCTTTTGTCTTAATCCTTGAGTTTGCAAAATCAATATGTGCCCATATTAACATAACAGGGCTTACATCAGTCAATGAAATTTGAATCTTTAATAGAACCTGCTTTATCTTCTATCTCTTACCAACCAACCCTTACACATAATATCAGAAAATACAATGAATAAATGTATAGGTGATAAATTCTTCCCCCTTTAAAACTCCTCTACAATGTTTTCTGAGAATTAGGAAGACTGTACAAGTTAAAAAGACAGTGCAATTGTGTATTCTTAAGAAGCTGTGTGAGTATGCATTTAGCAATTCTCTCAATAGCAATTTCCTAATCTGACCTTATCCATTTGTGATCTATTTTTATATTTAGATATAATTTGAAAAATAAAAGTTCGCATCCTTGCTATAGAGATAAGCAAGTATTTTTTTGATGATGAAATAAACATAAGATTACGCTAGCAATTTCACTCAAAATTGACAGATGAGATGATATATGCTATATATGATATGTGATATAAGCAATACATGTGTACATACCTAATATTGCATATGAAAAACACTGGAATATGATATACTTTTGGGAAATTGTATGTTTTCTGCCGATACCAAATTTAAGTACCAGTGATGGATATCACACTTTTCTCTTGTTTTTCTTTATTAGAATATCAGTATTCATTCCTTATTCATTTGTGTGTCATCGGCATTTACTGCACAGGCTTAACCTAAACATTAATAAAAAGAATCAATATTTATTAAACATTTTATAGAGTGTGGATCAAGTATCAACTCTGAAAATGATTTACTATATGTACAATTTAAGGAAACTACTTTATTTTTATATCAAACTTATTATCAAAAAGATAGCAATAATAATAGAACCTCTATCAAACCGTTGTATGAGAATTTAGAGAAATGACCTAAGTGAATTAGTGAGCAGAGATTTTGGCATACAGAAATTCCTCAATATTACACCGGCTATTCTGTACCAGACATAATACTAGGAACTTTAGGTTTACCATGTTATTTAACCCTACAACAATTCTCTGCAAGGTAAATAAACAAAGTAAATTTATATCAAATAAGATATAGCGCCAGTAATTAACTTCAGAGAAGGCTGACCCAAAGCCTACACTGTAATATTTCTATTTCATCCTTGCTTAGTGTTTAACAGATAAATGATTAAATATATATAGTCATAGGATTCCTTATGAAGAAAATCTAGAATCCATGTGTACCAACACCACACATTTATTTAATGTTCATTGCTTGTTAAGTAAAGAGATAAGTGAGGGAAATGCAATTATAATTCACTTTGGAAGGTTTGAGACATATATATACACACAACACACACACACGTCTTATATATATATATACACACACACACACACATATACACACACACACTTTTAACAAAATTTTTTTGTATTTTTTACTCTAAAGGTTGACAAATGAAAGCAGCCTATAAATTAGAATCCATACCCAACACTTTGATAAGCTTTTAATTACTTATTCAGGAAGTGCTACTATATAGAGTATCAGGTGAAGTAGAGATCTTGCTAGACTATGAAGATATAAATTGACTTAGTACGCTCTAGAAAATAAGTTAAAATAATACATGCATTGGAACGGAATGGGACATATCAGGCAGAAGTAAACCTAGCATGCTTGAAATGAAAAGGCTAAGATTAATTTGGTTTAACAGATTCTTTATGTGGAAAGTAGTTGGAAAAATGTTAAGTCCAGACGATGATCATTTTGGACCAGGCTTTCACTGTCAAAATAGGGAGATTATTTTATATACGATATGATAAACATAAAGGTTTTACAGAGTTACATGGCATCAAGAAAACTAGATATAGATAGACAGATCTGCAAAGATTAGGAATATTGGGAGGAAAAAAATTGGAGTCTGTAGGATCACTTAAGTAACTACTGGAAAAATAAAAGCGCTGTGATATACTGATACACACTTTATAGATAAAAGATTTGGTATGGGTTTTAGATAATCTTGCACTTAGTAAATTGATACCAAAAATATAGACATAAAAGTGAAAACTTAAAAAAGTTATTTCTTAACCCTAAGGTTGATTAAAATTATAATTGTTTATGTTAAGTATAAGGAAAAATTTAACATCATTTGAAAAACACATTTTCTTATTAAAGGTATATGCATTATAAAACATTTTTCTAGTTTTTTATTAAAGTTTTCCAGAAATTCAAGGAATTCTGACCAATCTAAATAATCAGTGACTGATAGAAGGTTATTTATATTTAGTTTATTCGCTAATCATTTTTATCTAGCATTTATTTGATTGGACAAACAAAAAGACTTCTGCTTCATCACCTCATGGCTACCTTCTTCCTTTTCAGTTTTGTAAAAAGCCATTTTAGCTAATTCAAGCAATTCATAAAACTGCGTTTTCCCTATGACAAGCAAATAATTCATCTGGGACTATGAATTATTTTTGCTTCTTCACTTTCTATAGAAAACTGTCCATCCCAATAATAAATACTAATAAAATGATACTAGCTAGTATTTTGTTTATTCCTCATTATGTACCAGGCATGTTTTAAGCACTTTACATATATCAATTAATTTACTCCTTCTAACAAATATAATGCATAGATAACAATTTTCCAAATTTCCACATGTGAAAATTGAATTACGGAGTCATTTCATTTTGTTTCCAGTGTGTCTGTTGCCAGCTCAACAGCTTAAATTTGGCCCTTCTGTACCAATGGGAGTCATGTTTCTTTAGATGGCAGGTTCATAATTCCATTCTTTGACTCTGAGTTCACTGAAAACATCTAATTAGAAGAAGAATAAAGCTTTTTCTTTGACTATTAGGTTTATAGGCTGCTTTCATTTGTCAACCTTTAGAGTAAAAAGTAGAAAAAAATTTTGGTAAAAGTGTGAGAAAAAGAAGCTTCACAAGTAAAATCCAATTACAGGAAACAGTGTTTACTTTTGGTTTGCATTTTGCTATATATTTTGACATTCTATTTTAAAATGAGCATATATAAAATAGAGAGAATATTATAATTAACCCCCATATATCTGATTTGATAGGAAATTTAACATTTTGCCATATTTAATTAATTTTTTGCTGAAGTTTTATAATGCATAGCTCTGATATTATGGCATTTTACACCAAAATTCTTCATTTTGTCTCGGCAAGAGTACAGGTATATTCTTATACAATCAAAATATCATTATCAACTGTAACAAAATTAGCAACAGCAATTTAATAATCTCATCTAATATACAGCCCATCTTCAAGATTATTTTCTGATTTTCTTTCACATATATGAAAGTACTTTTTTATCATCACTATATTTTAATTAAAGTACACATAGGGCATTAGACATTATGTCTCTTAAATCTTTTAATTTTGAATATCACCTATTTTTATGCCATTAACTGGCTTACTTGTCTTACAGAATTTCCTGCATTCTAACTTATCTTGTTGCCTTCTTATTGTTTAGCATGTTCCTCTGCCCCCTGTGTATACCATAAACTGAAAATTCATTTTCCATTTGTCATTGCAGAAAAAAAAGGAAAAAAATTGCATATGGTTTACTTCATGTTTCAGCAGGTAGGTGTATAAAATGCCTGGTTGTCCCATGATTAGTGAAGTTAATTTTGTTAGTGGTTTCAGGTGGTAGAATATGAGTCCTGGCTGGTAAAGATGCTTTTTCCCTATGACCAGCAAATCATCGGCAGGTGAAATTTGGCAAGCTCTGGGAGTTATTTTCTCATAAATATTTTATGTAAGTTTTTTTTAAGTACTCATTTATGTTCTTTATGTTCTTTTCTTGAATCAATTATTTCTTTAGTGTTTGCTAAATGGTGACTGTACCGATTTTGCTTTTCCTTCTGCATTCATTAGTTCATAATATTCTACAAATAAAGACTTGCTCTAATCAGAAGATATGGCTTAAAAACCATAACCATGAAGGTAAATTAAGCAAGCAACTGCAAATATAAATATATGTAATAGTTACATATATATATATATACACACACATATATATATACACACACACATATATATAGACATTTCAGAGTAAAAAAAAAGACCTATTTAGCATTACTTACCATTTCCTCAACTTATTCCTTAAATGATCTAAATTTAGTGCATGTTCTTTGCATAATACCATTTGTGCATATATATGTACATAATCACAAGAAAATTCAAACGACTATATATTCATAAAAGTTATTAGGTGTACATATATATTTGCAAGTCAGGCAGAGTAAGTGTTGAGACAAGAATGATCTGATTAATATTATTATAAGGATCCATCAAAATGCTTCATACCTTCAAATAATTATGTATTAAATTCACACTGTGATGAATTATCTCCAGGGAATATATTTATGATTTTAAGAGGCATCTGTTACAAATTAGAAAGGAAAAAATAACATTCTGAAGCCAGCTTTTTATCAAAA
This sequence comes from Homo sapiens, assembly GCF_000001405.40. Classification (NCBI taxonomy): domain Eukaryota; kingdom Metazoa; phylum Chordata; class Mammalia; order Primates; family Hominidae; genus Homo; species Homo sapiens. The sequence continues at coordinate 87,373,776 of NC_000013.11, forward strand.
TCATTTTGACAGCTCCAGGCTTCCTACAGATTGAATTCACCTGAAAGGCAACAAATAACGTTTATGTCAACTGTAAGGAAATAATCAGTGTGAGGCTTGGAATTGTTAGAAGGAAATATCATTTTTGGTACATAATTTTATTATATCAAAGCATGCAAAACTTTCTTATACATAAGAAAAATTAAGATGTTATTGAAAGGTGGTAATATTAAAGATATATTTGTATAGTTGAGATATTACATTTTGTTTCACTCAAAGTTTTTTATCTTCAGTAAATTATGACTATCAAAAATCAATAGTTTTATTTTAAAAACATATAATATTGGTTTGCCTTATATAAGTTTACCCCATTAATAAAGAATTATACATATCTTTACTTAAGACTTCAAATTTACTTTAAAAAATTATATAAAAATTGAGCCATTTATTTTATAAAATTGAGCTATCAGACTTACAAATCTTTTAACTAACTATCTGACTTAAGAAAGAAAACCTAATCACTATTAACTAGACATTCATTATCTAAAAAACAAAGTGTTACACATTCTACAAAAGTAAATACGCCAGGACAGTAAAAGTATTCAATTTATAAAAGATAGAGCGAATACGCATATACATACGACAAAAAAAAGTATGTGAACAATGCATATTATAATCCAAATATCTGGAAGATAAACAGAAACAAACTAAAGCAACATTTCTTATTGTTGGAGTGGAGTGGGTTATTAAGGATTAGCTTGAGGCCAGTTGCGGTGGCTCACGTCTGTAATCCCAGCACTTTAGGAGGCCGAGGCAGGCAGACACGAGGTCAGGAGATTGAGACCATCCTGGCTAACATGGTGAAACCCCGTCTCTACTAAAAATACAAAAAATTAGCCAGGCGTGGTGGCAGACGCCTGTAGTCCCAGCTACTCGGGAGGCTGAGGCAGGAGAATGGCGTGAACCCGAGAGGCGGAGCTTGCAGTGAGCCGAGATTGCGCCATTGCACTCCAGCCTGGGCAAGAAAGCAAGACTCTGTCTTAAAAAAAAAAAAAAAAAAAAAAAAGAAAAAAGAAAAGAGAAGAAAAGCTTGAATGATCAAGCAGTAATCGATTAGTTTTTGATATATCAGTATAAGTTTATGTTAAGATACATGCACATGGATACATTAAAAATATCTATAGATATGTGTATATACACAGGTTAGTAATACACATGTATATTTTCTTGTGTAGAAATCCTAGAAGGAATTACAGCCCAGGAGCATAGTACTTTTCTTTCTAATATCGTTCTCCAATGAACGGTACCAGGGCTTTTTAGATAAGTGGCTTATTTTAGCACAATGACGAGGTATGTATGATATGAGCCTGGGGTATCTTTTAGTGCCAGAACGTAAGACAATATTAAAATTAAAAAGTCCAAAGGAACAAAGAAACCAGTGAAAGAGCTGAGGATGAGCAAGGCTGGAAAATTCAACAAAAAATAAACAGAGTGGTATTGGATTATAATAACTCAATGTAAACTTTATGAATCTACTGAAAAAAACTAAATATGAAAAAAACACAAATATCTTGTACCAAAGAATATTAAGTAATTGATGGCAGACAGCTCTTAATTTCCCACTCACTAAAAGTTTCCTGCACATATTAACTTCTTGCAGAGTACTGTATAGAAAGTGGGAGAGGAAAGAATAACTAAGTAAAGAGCTAATGAACTCAGGTAATCAAGATGAAAACTCATAGTGGTAAGTCTTGTTAGTCACGTTGATTGTGTGTACCATTAATGTGATTTGATGAGAAAGACATTTTACCTCTGTGGCCTTCTTCCCCAAATTACATAACCCCAGTTTAATCATTAGACAAGCATCAGGTTAATCTCATTTGAGTGAAATCTACAAAATACCTATCCAGTATTTTCTCCTCATTAAATTGAAAAATAATAAAAAATAGGCCGGGCGCGGTGGCTCACGCCTGTAATCCCAGCACTTTGGGAGGCCGAGGCGGGCGGATCACGAGGTCAGGAGATCGAGACCATCCTGGCTAACACGGTGAAACCCCGTCTCTACTAAAAATACAAAAAATTAGCCGGGCGTGGTAGCGGGCACCTGTAGTCCCAGCTACTCGGGAGGCTGAGGCAGGAGAATGGCGTGAACCCGGGAGGCGGAGCTTGCAGTGAGCCGAGATCGCGCCACTGCACTCCAGCCTGGGCGACAGAGCGAGACTCCGTCTCAAAAAAAAAAAAAATAAATAAATAAAAAAAAATAAAAAATAAAGTCTTAGAAACTGCCACAGCTATGAGGAGCCTAAAGAGACGTAATGACTAAATGTAATTTGGTATCATGATTGGAATCATGGCACAGCAAAAATACATTATAAAATAAATAAATATGGCAGATAGTCAATGGGATACTATTGAAGCATGAAAAAAAATGAAATCCTGTGATTTGAGACAGTGTGAATGAATGTGAAGGGTTATTAGGTTAAGTCAAAGAAGTCAGGCACACAAAGACAAGTACAGCATGATCTCATTCATTTGGCATCTTTGAAAAAGCTGATCTCATAGACTTACAGAGTAGAATAGTGGTTACAAGAGGCTGGGGGAGGGTAGAAGGAAAAAGAGGTTGAAGAGAGATTGGTCAATGACTAGAAAATCGTAGGTAGATAGGAGAATAAGTTTTGATGTTCTATAGAATAGCAAGGTGACCATAGCTTAAAATATTGCATTGTGTACTTCCAAATAACTGTAAGAGAGGACTTTATTTATTTATTTATTTATTATTTTATTATTATTATACTTTCAGTTTTAGGGTACATGTGCACAACGTGCAGGTTTGTTACATATGTATACATGTGCCATGTTGGTGTGCTGCACCCATTAACTTGTCATTTAGCAATAGGTATATCTCCTAAAGCTATCCCTCTCCCCTCCCCCAACCCCACAACAGTCCCCAGAGTGTGATGTTCCCCTTCCTGTGTCCATGTGTTCTCATTGTTCAATTCCCACCTATGAGTGAGAACATGCGGTGTTTGGTTTTTTGTCCTTGCGATAGTTTGCTGAGAATGATGGTTTCCAGCTTCATCCATGTCCCTACAAAGGACATGAACTCATCATTTTTTATGGCTGCATAGTATTCCATGGTGTATATGTGCCACATTTTCTTAATCCAGTCTATCATTGTTGGACATTTGGGTTGGTTCCAAGTCTTTGCTATTGTGAATGGTGCCACAATAAACATAGAGAAATGCAAATCAAAACCCCAATGAGATACCATCTCACACCAGTTAGAATGGCAATCATTTAAAAAGTCAGGAAACAACAGGTGCTGGAGAGGATGTGGAGAAATAGGAACACTTTTACACTGTTGGTGGGACTGTAAACTAGTTCAATCATTATGGAAGTCAGTGTGGCGATTCCTCAGGAATCTAGAACTAGAAATACCATTTGACCCAGCCATCCCATTACTGGGTGTATACCCAAAGGATTATACATCATGCTGCTATAAAGAGAGGACTTTAAATGGTCTCAACACAGAGAAACAATATATATATATATTTTTTTTGAGATGGAGTTTCACTCTTGTTGCCCAGGCTGGAGTGCAATGGCGTGATCTAGGCTTACTGCAACCTCCACCTCCTGGGTTCAAGCAATTATCCTGCCTCAGCCTCCCGAGTAGCTGGGATCACAGGCTCCCGCCACCATGCCAGGCTATTTTTTGTGTTTTTAGTAGAGACAGGGTTTCACCATGTTTACCATGCTAGTCTCAAGCTCCTTACCTGGTGATCCACACACCTCAGCCTCCCAAAGTGCTGGGATTACAGGTGTGAGCCACCATGCCTGGCCAAAGAAATAATAAATATTTTAGGTGATGAGTATGCTGAATACTCTGATTTGATCATTCCACAATATATACATGCATCAAAACATCACACTGTATCCCACAAATAGGTACAATGATTACGTGTTAAATAAAACACAATAGAACTACAAAAGGAAAGAAATAATGGCTTTAATGAATAGTAATATATCAATATTGGTTCATTAACTGTGATAAATATACCATACTCATATAAATCCTTAATAACATGGGAAATTGAGTGTGGGATAATACCAACTCTCCATACTATCTTCATAAACTTTCTATGAATCTAAAACTATTCTGTAATTAAAAAGTATATTTTAAAAAGTTTATGGACTTAAATGTAATGTAGAGTACTTGTTTAGATCCTGAAAAAAAAAGAATAAGTAATATAGCTAATACTATACCTACTTTAATTTTATAATTTTGTCAAATGTGCTATGGTTATGTAAGTTGTTAACATTAGGGGAAGCATGGAAAAGACATCTTTTTTTTTTACTACCATTAATTTTTTTTATTACTCTATAATTGTTTCAAAATAAAAAGTATATTAAGAAATATAAATTATCTTAAAAGTTATCCTTATAAGTTCACAGTTTTTTAGAGAAACACACACACACACACACACACACACAATCCCCTGTTGTGTGTCGTAGGCCTAGCCTAATCCTGTGAAGAATGGACCTGGTATGTAAAACATGTCCTGTGTCCTAGAATTAGACAACCCTCACCTAACCTTGGCTTCTGCTCTGGCCCAGCCTCTCCTAACCTCTCTGCACCACCTTTTCCCGTTTAGACTAATTTCCAATCTTCCAGAAGGAAATGATCAAGTCATAGAGCAACCCAGTTAAAACTAAGTTTCCCATGAAACATTTTCAAGGTGGAGAGGGTTTCAAGAGGACACTATGGCCAAAAAGTCAGCTCTCATTGGCAAAAATGATGTAGTTCAATAGGCTGTGCACTCCAAGTAGTTACTCTCCAAGGTAATAAAAACAACAAAAAGTATTCCTGGTGTGCAGACCTGGAGCTTCTGGTGTCTTATCCCTAAGATTGCTCATGTACCTGAGAATTCAGTGCAGGAATGAGGGCCTTAAATTGAAATATACAAAAATACAAAACTACAATGGTTATATTAAGGAAAAAAATTCAAATGAACAAGATACATCATTTGCACACAGCTAGTGTACAGTTGGCATCCCGAAGAAAGTGAGACTCAAGGTGCAGTATCCAAGGGAGTGAATAAACAAAATCACATTGATCAGAATGGGGTAGGGGTGGAGGTAGTCAATCATAGGAGCAGCAGATCTGCAGCTGTTTCCCAACCATCGCTTTCACCTTCATCACTATTCATTGTTTGGGACAGTTCCCAACACCCTATCCCAAGAGTGAGTATGAGGATACAAGATGTGAAAACAAAACAAAACACTGCTTTACTCCTAAGAGATTTTCTCCCGCATAACGTAGTGGCTTGGATACATAAATCTCGTCCTACACCCAATCCTTTCATTCTAGCATAGGAATTATTATTATACCTTCATGTAAAGGAAAATGACTTTCCTGTCCAGGCCATTTTCAAAAGCTGAGAATTCTGGGGATGGGGCCTCTGATAAAGCATAAAGGTTCTCCGCTGATTTCTTCCCAAAAGCGCTCACTGTATTTGGACAGAACATGGTTGGAGTTCCTTTGCTTCACGTGTTCCCCTGATCAAGGGGGAAGAAGAGGGGATGCTGTGAACCACAGCCCGAGATCCATGACAGTGACACCTAGCCCCAGTCCACCCTATTACCACTCTCTCCACTCTTCCTGCTGCTTGAAAATTCCTGGTAGCAAAAGAAGAGCCTCCACCCATAGTGGCTCAATTCTGGGCCTCAGGGAACAGGGCACAGCTGTGTGTATCTTCCTCTTCCTCCCCAAAATAGGCTGGCTTTCCCTGTGTGCTAGGGGCTTGCTGGGCCTTCAGCAGATATGAGGCAACGGTATGACTGATGCTCTGCACAGTGGTGCTTCTTGGGCTGATGTGGCAGCTGGCATTCCTTGGCATGATGGTTTAGATCTCCACTCTTGTGCCACCTGCCTGCCTCTTTTTTTTGTTTTGTTTTGTTTTGTTTTTTTTGAGATGGAGTCTCACTCTGTTGCCCAGGCTGGAGCGCAGTGGCATGATCTCGGCTCACTGCAACCTCCGCCTCCCGGGTTCAACAGATTCTCCTGCCTCAGCCTCCCAAGTAGCTGGGATTACAGGTGAATGCCACCACGCCCAGCTAATTTTTTGTATTTTCAGTAGAGATGGGTTTTCACCATGTTAGCTAGGATGGTCTCAATCTCCTGACCTCGTAGTCTGCCTGCCTCGGCCTCCCAAAGTGCTGGGACCTGCCTCCTTTTGATATCTGCATTTTTCTCCCCTTTGTCTGCCTCTCATTTTCAATACAGAACATCCCACTAGGTCTGGTGACACAGATAGATTTCAGACCCTTGGTAGACTTCTTACAGGTGAAGTCCACTGCCTCATCCTCCTTCCAGCTCTGGAAGCCCTCCACGTGCAGCTTACTCTGGTGCACAATGATGTCCACTGGGAGCTCAAGTGCAACTCCAGAGCAGGTGGTCACGGACAGGAAGCTCAACCCAGTGCACACCTTGAACGATTTATAGATAGTTTTAAGATGGGAACAAGAGATGGAAGTTTCTTAGCTTCTTCAGGATTTTTGCATAATTGGTTTAAGAGTTGTGGAGATCATCCAAAAATTAAATGTGCATGCATGTGGGTGTGTAGGTTTTCTTTTTGAGAGAGATGGAAAAGAAGGCAAAGTAGGAGACATATTTTTAGAACAGATGTGGTCCAATAGGTAAAAGGAGATGGGGAACACAAAAGAAAGGATGGTTCAAGATCTCCACTTTAAGAATCAGAATGGATTCTTCTGTGTACAGCCTGTGCTGTCAAGGGATGGATATACAAAGCAAGGACTAAAATCCTCAACATTTCAAAATGTGGGGGTTCCAGGGAGACCCACAAATGGGGGTTCTTTGTGGTGCCTGAAGCCACTGTTCTGCCCTGCTGCAGTGATGATCAGTAGTGTCATGGTAGCTAAAGGAGTAAAAAGAGAGTTTCATTTGCTCACTGTAAGATCACTGCAAACCTACTTTCCTGTGTTGAATTGGGAAGAATGCAATAGAGCTCCTTGGGTGGTGTGGGTTTGATCCTGGGTTCTTGTCTCCCAAATGCTGCCCCCATTCTAGTTTTTGTATTTCTCTGGGCTTTTAGAACATCACTGAATTGGTGATTGCCAGATGGCCTAGTTTGTGTAAATATAATGTGTTGGTCTTTCTCTATGTTCTTTGGGGTTTATGTTTACAAACATTTTGTATTGACAGAAACATAGCCAAAGCATTCAAAGATGGTTGGGTACCAGACAAAAATATCTGAGACATTAGTTTTTGGGGCCGCCTTCTTAAAGTGGAGACCTTGAACCATCCTTTCTTTTGTGTTCCCCATCTCCTTTTACCTGTTGGACCACATCTGTTCTAAAAATGTGTCTCCTACTTTGCCCTCTTTTCCATCTCTCTCAATAAGAAAACCTATACACCCACATGCATACACATTTAATTTTTGGATGATCTCCACATCTTAAACCAATTATGCAAAAATCCTGAAGAAGCTAGGAAACTTCCATCTCTTGTTCCCAAACTCCTGAGTCAAGACCATTTTTTGATGTGACTCGTGACAAACACTTAAGATACTGCTTTATTTTGTTTGGATCCATCCTACTTAATCCTTAATCCTAAAGCAGAGAAAAGTAATTGAGGACCTTTCAGGAAGAAGTGGGGTAAGGAGGCCAAGAAAGGGAATATGAATATGTATCCAAGTGACTCAGGAACTTTTATGCAGGTGCAAGAAACATGTCAAAGTGGCCACAAGATTGTTTAGTAGGAGACATATGGATGTAACGTCTTGTTGACTGGTAGAAACCAAAGATTTGTGTGAAACTATTAATTTATGGGGAGAGAATGGGAGGGTAGGAAAGCCTATATCTCTCTGTTCTTTTCCTGATCCTTTCCCCTCATTCCTGAACTGTAGGAGACTGAGCCCCTTTGGACTTTGGTGACCCCCATCGCTGGGTGTGTTTATTTGATGGTTTATTTTGCTGTACTGGAAACTTTCTTATTTTCTAATCATTTTGTAACACACATGTTGACTTTTTCACTTCTCTTCTTTCCTGGGAAAATACGATGAATAAATAAAGACTTATTGGAACTGGGAAAAAAATAGAACTGAGCACAAATACAAAACAGATTCTGGAAAACTAACAAGTATTTAATATATTTAAAGATACTTCAATGCATGGATCATAGGAGTTCCTATAGGTAAAAAAACAAAGGGACACACAAAAAAATCCTAAAAACCGTAACCCAAGAAAAAAAATTAAATAGTGTTGGGGCTGCATATACAAGAAGAGCACACCACTAACTTGAGAATATCAACCCAGAATGACCAATACCATGAGAGATTCCAGTAAAATTACTGTATTTTAAGAAAAAATATCAAAACACTTAAGCATCTAGACAAAGAGTAAATGGCATAGAAAAGGAAAGAAATGAAATATCAGAAAACATCATTATAATGCTTTATAGCCAAAGAAGATGGTATAAAACATTTAAAGAAATCAAAGAAAATATCAAAGAAAAAAACGTGAGCCAAAGATTTTATGACCAACAAAAGTAACTATCAAGTATGATGACCACAGACAAATTGTTATCAACATGCAAAAACTGAGGGAATGTTTTCATGAGCACTTCCTGAGCAATCTAGCAGAGCAAGCAGTAGAAAACTATAATTCATGGGCCAAACTGCTTTGATTCTGTTTTTTTTTTTTAATAAGGAGTTATATTTACACAGTCATGTTCACTTATTAACACATCCTTTAATAGTGCTTTCACAGTAGAATGGCATACCTGTGTAATTGCGAGAGAGAATATATGGCCTAAAAAAACCCTTAAATGTATACTATCTAGTCCTTCATGATAACAAGTTTTCTGACCCATGAATGAATAATGAACTTCTGATAAGCTACAAAGAATAGTATGTAGTGGATTTGTGTTCTATCAATGTATATAATGTGACTTGTAAGTGGAGGGGGAAGAATGAATAGAGTATATATAAAATTTATTAAACCATATATCATATTTTATCTATACATATATCTATTGATCTATGTATTTATTTGTCCATCTATCCTATCATCCTGATTGTTCAGTTTCATTGGAGAACTCTGACTGATACATATTAATAGTACTAATATGGCTATGCTTCAAATACTGTATATTTCAACATAGCAAATAATTAATTATGGTATATTCGATTTCCATATTCTCTGTAATCTTGAGAACCAGTACTGTCAGTGAGTAAGAGAGGAGACATAGGTGCAATTCAGTGGTATTTTAGTAAAAATCCTGTAGTTAAGAGTTTGGATTGAAATTATCCACATGAATATGAAACATATTTTATAGTGTTTGTGTATGCTTGTGTGTATTATATATTTTTCTATGTGACCACTGAAAATGCTTAAAAACAATGAATAATAAAGTAGCAATGAGCATCTCTAGTTATCTGACTGTAGTCATAAAATGTCATCTCTTACTTAAAGAAAGCAGTGTTTCTTAGAAAAATGACTAATTCCAGTATTGGAGCAAAAATTTACAAGATGACCCTGGAGTATCTTGTTACATCAGATAGCAAGAAAGCTATCAGTGTTTATGGGGTACTATCAAAATGTTAAAACAAGAAACTGAAAAGATTTCTGCTGTCAAATATGACATCATTTGAGCTCATCAAATACAATAATTGCGACAAATTACAACATATGTGTTCAAATCCATTAGTTTATAATGATTATTAAAATATTAACAATTTCAGCATTTTCAAATATAGTGACTAAAACAAAATATTTATGTGGCCTTTTCTCTGTGAACCATACCACTAGATAATCAAAGGATAGATGAAGATAAGTGATGATTTATAACATGATTCAATATATAAATACAAACATATAACCGAATATTACCAATTGTCAGCCTCCAATAAATCAATGTATCTTGCAGTGAATATCAATGGCTAGTGATGTCCAAAAAAAAAAAAAAAAGGAATAGCAGATATAATGAGACTCCTTATGAAATAACATAACAACAATAATAATCTGGCCAAAGGGATGAAAATCAAGCTTAAATTAAACTCTGAGATTCTGTGACAATTTTGGAGAACTATGAAGAACAGAGGAACACGCTGAAATGCAACAACAGAATCCAGAAACTGTGGAAAACTCCATTGGTCAAAAGGAAGAGGCACTTTAACAGATACATAGTAAGGGGGAAATTACAAGATGGAGGGAGAACGTTTAAAGTAAAATATACCATACAGATCACAAAACTTCTAGTGTCTAGGTATACAAATTATACAAAAATTATAATAAAATTATTCAATAAGGTAAAATTATAAAGAAATGTAAGAATTGATGATTAAACAAGATAATGGTTACTTGTATGGGAAAAGAAGGATTTGATATTGGGACTGAACACAAGACAGGAATTTAATGGGGGGGTGGGCAAAGTTTTATTCCTTGAACTGGGTATTGGTTAGAATATTGTACACTTCATAAAAATGTATTAAACCATATTTTTATTTATTTATTTATTTATTTATTTATTTATTTATTTATTTATTTATTTAGTGAGATGGAGTATCGCTCTGTAACCCAGGCTGGAGTGCAATGTCAGGATCTTGGCTCACTGCAATCTCCTCCTCCTGGGTCCTGGTTCAAGCAAGACTCCTGCCTCAACCTCCCGAGTAGCTGGGATTACAGGCACGTGCCACCAAGACCAGCTAATTTTTGTATTTTTAGTAGAGACGGGGTTTCATCATGTTGGCCAGGTTGGTCTTGGACTCCTGACCTTGTGATCCGCCCACCTCGGCCTCCCAAAGTGCTGGGATTACAGGCGTAAGCCACGGCACCCAGCCATTAAACCATATTTTTACACGTTTTTCATGTATCTGTGTTTTATTTATAACAAATATATTGGGACCAAAGAACTCATAACCAGGTCAATGAGTATGTGCTATAATCTCAATTTATTCAAAATTGGCTTATAAACAGGAGATATTTTATATTTTTACATAATTGTAGAGATAGAGATATTTACTGTCACTCTATTTGAGTGCTTTAGTTAATTCTAGTTCAAGTTTTAAAATTTTTCATTTGCATTTATAAAATTTTGAAACATAATATTCTTATCTATTTTCTGTAATGTAGCATAATTTCTAGGTACACTTTTAATACATTGGCTGAGTATTAATTGATTCAACATAACTGTCATTTCTGTGGAGGAACTTTTTGCTTTGGGCTTGCCTATCATTCTTAATTACTTTCTGAAAATGTCCCCGTCTGCCATTCTCTCAGTCCATATGAATAAGGAAGGTCTCCAGCCCTGGTACTGCACTTAGGACAAGTGATCCACATTATGCCAACTGAAGAACCAAATCCTCCCATCCACAGTGGATTTTATTGAGAGAACACCAGATGATATGGTGGTTCTAGTCCGTTTATATAGATCTATATCCTGGCCATAGCATTTATTTCAGGAATAGGCCTAGTAACCATTTTGTAAGCAAGCCAATCGTGAAAAGTGTGTGATAATATACTAAAATAGAACTCTCTTATTTTGCTATTGGATGTCTAGGTGGATGTAGGATTGGGACTGTGGGAAGAATTATGACTGGGCAAAATTATGCCTTCATTTCAAACTGGAGAAAAGCCACATGTTAAGGAGAGAGAACGGACTCTGTTTCTTAACCTGTTTGACACTAGGTTAAGATAGAACTGTTTACATTATAATTTCTCACTTTTCAATTACGTAATATAATCATCTCTAATGGAGTTGTATTTTTTGACAAATTATTAGAGTCACCATGTTGCATTTGAACACTAGCATGTCCAAATAACAATTTGTTATGACAGTTATCCTTGAATCTATTTAAACATATTAAATATATCAGGGCATTTGATAAACAATGTTTGGTAAAATATTTTGTCAAGCATTGTGGTAAATTAATAAAATTTTACAACATTGTTGAATTTAGAATCTTACATCCTTGTTCATTTATTTGAAAAGGCTTTAGTATTCTCTACTATGTGAAGTATGAAATATGCAGTTCTAGGTGTGAGAAATGTGACCCGTGTGAGACCAATCTAAGACTGAAGGGATGTAACAGGAAGAGACATAAAGGTGAAGAAAGTAAGATCTTTCATTTCAAGGACCTTATGATCACCCACACACACACACACACACACACACACACACCAACAGTACATATAAACACACACACAATGTCTTATGAAAACATAAGTTCATAATTGTTACTTGCCTAACTTCTTCATTCAGCTGTATCCTATCTTAAACTTTTACTGCTGTGACACCATGTCTTTTATTTGGTTTCTTAGAAGGAGAGCCTGAGATGAAAATTCTTGTTCAAATTATTTAAATGGTTGATCTCAACGAGGAGAGTGAATGAAGCAGGCTAGAAAACAGAGAGAAAAGCTAAACAAATGTGAGTTATCATTTGAGGACTAAAACACTGAAACACTTGGAAGTTATGAAGCAAAATTTGTACCACAGACATACTCCCTCTTTAAAGCAACAGGGGGAATGTGTATCGTATGTGTCACTCAGACATTGGCAGAGATCAGCCTGCAGAAGTGAAATTGGTTTAGCCTGCAGGGGATAAACATAAGGGTGCAAGGGCCAATTCTCCAGAGAAACAGGAAGACATGAGTTGCTATCAGCCATTATTTTCACTCATTGGCGATGGGTGTCACAGCCAAAATGAATCTAGCAGGGGACTAGTAGCATCCACCTCTTCATGTTTATCAAAGTTAATATAGTTGAAGGTATATTGCTTCTCTCTACCTAGGCTGCCTATCAAACCCTGCCGTGCCAGAGAAAGTTGGGCCCTGCTTAAGTGTTGTTTATACAGCACTTTATGCCTCTAGGATCAATTATCACAGTAAATATAATCACTCTCTTTTCTTTTCTTTCTTCTCCTTCTTCTTTTTTTTTTTTTTGGTAAGACACAGAACTTCTCTGTCTCCCAGGCTACAGTGCACGATCTCAACCACTGCAACCTCTGCTTCTCGGTTCGAGAGATTCTCCTGTCTCAACTTGCCAGGTAGCTGGGATTACAGGAGTGTGCCACAATGCCCAGATAGTCTTTTGTACTTTAGTAGAGACAGGGGTTTCACTATGTTTGCCAGGCTGGTCCCGAACTCCTGACCTCAAGTAATCTACCCGAAGTGCTAGGATTACAGGTGTGAGCCACCGTGCCCGGCCTAATCATTTTCTTCGAAGTAGGTCTTCACAAGTCTGAGACTTACTTGAGGATAATAATTAAGTCTGATTAATCTTTATTTCCTCAGACCAAATGCAGTAATTAAATGATATATTATTGTAGATTACATATATGTTGTATTTTAGTTTTTTCAAGAAGTTGATAAAATGACAAACACAAAACTGAAATTTGGATATATAGCCCAGTTGGTATAAAATAGTGCTTTAGAGGTGAGTCTCTTGGAGTAAGTAAACTACTGTTCAAATGTTTGACAGAGAAGTTCTTTTAACTCCCTAAGCTTCAATTGCTTAATTTTACATTTTTACAATTAGAATTTTATATTAATTTTATAAGGATGAAAAGTATTGCCATGATCCTGTTTCTTGAACTAATTGAGAAAATGTATATAAAAGGGATTCGTATAGTAAGTAGAATGGTAAATATTAAGTGTTGAGCATATGCTAGATATTTTAATGATGATTGTAGGAAAAACCATGGTTGCAAGAAAATTCCAAGTATCAAAATCTCATGTTGATATTTCATGCTTTAAGTAATTTTAAAGAATCAACAGATAAAAAGTAGCACGTTAGACCTGAATTTGATATTTTCTGAATCTGTTTTATTAGATATTCAGATTCATGGCACATGACACAATGGATCATGAATATTGTTGCTTTATCTGAAGCTAGACATATCATTCAGATCTGTATGTATTCTCATTGCTGAGCATAGAGTTTATCCTGGCAATGTCAATATAACATATTCATGTAATCATGGAATTATTCTCTAAATGGGAGCTTCATGTTTAGTCTCATATGGTTCTATCAGTTTATAAAATATATCTCAGGAGTGACAGGAAACATGAAAAAGAAAGTACCTTGCATAATGAAGACCTAACTCCTGCAGCTTTTTTAATTAATTCAGTTTCTTTAATTAATTATCCTTTAAGACTGTGCCCGCCGTAGCTATGTTTCACTCTGCCAGAACACTAGCAAAGATCACCAGACTGTTTCTGAGACAGTTTTTTAAATTTTTTTAGAACTGAAAAATATGAATTCATTTAATAAATTGCCCCATCCAAAATTATGCCAAGAACACTTTGAGATGGTGATGGCTGCAATGCATTCTTTCTTCTGAAATCTTTGCTAAGAAACCACATTAATAACTTAAACCTCTAATTACAGATGAAAGGCTTGTATTTCATTTTGCCTTTTATACCTGTTTTCAAATGTTCTATTTGCTTTCCACAACTTCTTATTCATCAAAATTTGGGAAGCTATGAATTAGAGGTTTGAGGATTATGTAATTCAGAAAAAAACTGCCTAGTTTTTCATTGTCATTAAAAGCTATGAATAAATTAAAATAGTGTAAAAATGTGTTGGATTAATCCACATTTGGTTGGTTTAAAGTAACATAATACATGTGTATGCATGTCTGTCTGTGTGTGTGTACTTTATCACAATAATGAATATTGCTGGAAAGTGAATGTGCTGGAATAGCTTCAGAGAGCTTATCTCCATATATTTTCTTAATTGGCACATTATTGTACATATTTATGGGCTACAGTGTGAGATTTTCATACGTGTATTCAATGGGTAATGATCAAATAAGGGTAATTAGCATATCCACCAACTCAAACAATTATTATTTATTTGTGTTGGGGACATTCAAAGTCCTCTCTTCTAGCTATTTGAAAATACGCTATAAATTATTGTTAATTGTAATCACTCTACAGTACTATAGAAAACTAGAAACTATTGCTTCTATCTAGCTGTAATTTTATACCCCTTAACCAAACTCTCCCTATCCTGCCCTCACCACTACCTTTCCCAGCCTCTAGTAAGCATTATTCTACTCTACTTCCATGAGAGCAATTTATTTTTGCTTTCACATACAAGTGAGAATGTGCAGTATTTATCCTTCGATGCCAGGCTTATTTCACTTATCTTAATGTCCTCCAGGGTTATCCATATTGCCATGAAAGGCAGGATTTCGGTTTTTCTTATAGCGAAATAGCATTTCATTGTGTGTGTGTGTGTGTGTGTGTGTGTGTATGTATATATATATAAAATATTTTTAATACATTCATCTATTAATGGACAGTTAGTTTGATTCCATGTTTTGAGTATTATGAATAGCACAGCAATAAACATGAGAGTGCTGATATCTATTTCACATATTGATTTCCTTTCCTTTGGATATATACACAGTAGATGGATTGGTTGATTTAATGGTAGTACCATTTTTAGTTTTTTGAAAAACTTTTATAGTGTTTTCCATAATGGCTATGCTAATTTACATTACCACCAACAGTGTATAAGTGTTATCTTTCTTTTCTCCACATTCTCACCAGTATTTGTCATTTTTTTCTCTTTTTGTAAGTAGCCATTGTAATGTGAGTGAGGTCATATCTCATTGTGGTTTTGATTTGCATTTCTATCATGATTAGTGATGTCGATTATTTTTTATGCACTTGTTGGACATTTGTATGTTTTCTTTTCAGAAATGTCTATTCATATAATTTGCTCATAAGTAAACCAATTTATTTGGTATTTTGCTGTTGAGTTGTTTGGGGTTTTGTGTATTATAGATATTAATCCTTTATCAGATGAATGGTTTGTAAGTATTTTCTACTATTCTGCAGGTTTTCTCTTCACTCTGTGGATTGTTTCCTTTGCTGTGCAGAAGCTTTTTAGTTTGATATAATGCCTCTTGTCTATTTTTGCTTTCATTGGCTGTGTTTTTTTATATCTTATCCATAAATTCTTCGCCCAACCCAATGTTTTGAAGTGTTTCCCGTGTTTTCTTCTACTAGTTTCATAGTTCCCCATCTTACATTTAAGTCTTTAATCCATTTCGAGTTCATATTTGCATATAGTGAGAGAAAGCGGTCTAGTTTTCTTATTCTGCATATGGATATCCAGTTTTCCCAGATTAGTGAAGAGATTGTTATTTCCTCAATGTAAGTTCTTGGCCCCTTTTTTAAAACTCAGTTGGCTGTAAATATGTAGATTTGTTTCTGGGTTTTCTATTTTGTACCATGTTTTTATGCCAGTATCATGTTGTTTTGATAACTATAGCTTTATAATATATTTTGAAGTCAGGTAGTGTGTGTCACCAACTTTGTTCTTTTTACTTAGAATTGCTTTACTCGTTGACATATTTTGTGGTTCCATATAAAGTTCAGAATTGTTTTCCTATTTGTGTAAAGAATGTTTTTGTATTTGGTTAGGGATTGGGTTGAACCTACACATTGGTGTGCATAATAGGTTTACTTTCATAGTACTAATTCTTCCAAGCCATAAACAAGGGATGTCTTTCCATTTGATTGTGTCCTCTTCATAGTCTTCCTTGTAGAGATATTTCTTATCTTTTGGTTAAATATATATTTTAGGTATCTTTTATATTTTTGTAGCTATTGTGAGATTTCTTTCTTGATTTTTTTTCAGCTAGTTTGTTATTGTTGTATAGAACTGCTACTAATTTTTGTATGTTGATTTTTGCATCATGTAACTTTACAGAATTTGTTTATCAGTTCTTAGAGTTTTTTTGGTGGAATCTTTAGGCTTTTCTCTGTATAAAATTATGTCATCTGTGAACAGGAACAATTTCACTTCCTCCTTTCTAACTTGGATGGCTTTTATTTCTTTCACTTGCCTAATTGCTGTGGTAAAGACTTCCAGTTCTGTGTTCAATAACAGTGGTGAAAGTGGGCATCAAAGTGAGCGTGCTTGTCTTGTTTCAGGTCTTAAAGGAAAAGCTTTCAACTTTTCCTTAATCAGTATAATGTTGGCAGTGGGTTTGTCACATATGGCCTTTATTGGGTTGAGATACATTCCTCATATATCTAATATGTTGAGAATTTTTATCATGAAGTGATGTTGACATTTATCAAATGTTTTTTTCTGCGTCTATTGAGATAATCACATCTTTTGTCCTTTATTCCCCTGATGTAGTGTATCACATTTATCAGTTTACATATATTGAACGATTCTTGCATCCTTGGAATAAATCCTACTTTATCATGGTATATAATATTTTTGATGTGTTGTTGCATTCTGTTTGCTAGTATTTTTCTAGAACTTTTACATCTATGTTTATCAATGATATTGGCTTATAGTTTTCTACATTTTTGTTGTATTTTTTATCAGGTTTTAGCACATGGGTAATGCTGGACTTGTAGAATGAGTTTGGAAGAATTTCCTACCCTTCAATTTTTTGGTATAATTTGAGAAAAATTAGTGTTAGTTCTTTTTTAAATTTTGGTGGAATTCAGCAGTGAAGCCATCCAGTCCTGGGCTTTTTTGTTGGTGTTGTTGTTTGGATTTTTTTTAAAAAATGCTAAGTCAATATTGTTACTTGTTATTATTCTATTTAGAGTTTCTGAAATTGAAGACAGGTGTCTTTAAATAGTAAGACAAAAATAAAACACAAAAATAATAGAATAAAGAATGAAGAAGTCCTATGGGACATATGCGACACCATTAGGTAAACAAATATTTACATTAAGAAATGTCCACAAGAAGAAAAAATAGGAAAACATAATAGAAAACTTAATAAAATAACAGCTGAAAACATCCCAAATCTTTAGAGAGATATGGACATCCTAACACAGGAAGCTCAAAGGTCTCCAAATAGATTCAGCTTATTTCCATTCTCTTACCTGACCTGCATGATGCAATTAAATTAAGCACTGTAAGATAAATATCAAAATATGTATTTAAAGACCCAATATTTATATGTGGGCAAAAATAAAATGTTGAAATTTCACTAATTTTGTTTTTTACTCGAAATTTCCCCTCCCCTTTATCAGGGTTCATATTATAAATCCATCCTTTTAAACTACATTTTTCAGTACTTTTTTATTTCCCAGGCTCTGTTTTAGGCAGTATTTTCCAGGATCATTGTAAATAAGATATACAAAACCTCTGCTATTAGACGAATTATATTTTTATTGCGAAGACAGAAAATAAATTATAAACTGGTATGATATCAAGTCATAATTAAGTGCTTTGGAGAAACATGTAGGGCAGGCAATGTGTTGTGAGATGGTGGAAAGGCTGCTTTATAGAGTCCACAGGACTGGCCTTTGTGAAGAGCTAATATTTTAGCAAAGATTTTAAATGATGTGGGCAGCAATAGTTGTAGGACACATAATGTGTATAGGCTTTTAGGTATAAATAAACTTGGTATATCTTAGATGCACAAAAAATGCCTCATGTGCAAGAAGGGAGACTTAGGGAGAAAGAGCCTCAAGGAGAGGAGATAAGCACAACAAAGTGCTCCCCTTGGCTCTTACTGGAACCCTATTTTCATTGACGTTTTTAGTAGCCAAGCCCCAAAAATTTTATAATACTCTTTCCATCTCTTTATTATCCCCAGCACCTACTTCATTAAAAATAAATTCTGCTTCTAAGTGGTTTCTAAAACTTTTATATAAATTAGGGGCTTCTATTTAATTGTTCCAATTACCCCCAAGGCCTACATAGAGATATGAGAAATCTAAAGTTATTCTAGGATCAGGAGACTTCTCTCTTGTTAGAGGTTTAACATTTAATAATACATAAATCAGTGTTTCTCTGGACAGATCTTACTAATGAGCACAAAGTTATATAAAAACAACTCTCCTTTAAAATAAAATGTCCCAACCATTTGACTCCTAAAGTAATATGTGACTTCTGCTGTTCTCTTGCAAGAGGGGGAAATTATTAAATATTCTTCAGGGACTTTCTCCAAGCTTATACCCGCTTTCATTTTTATCTTGCAAGCTTAGATGTTCATAGATAGAACTTTAAACCATATTCTGTAGGGTGAAGAAGAGCATTTTTATCCTTTTATCTACTTTCTCATTAGCCAGACATTAGTTAATCATTGAAAATAGAGTCCTTACCTGAATATACATGAACTAGAAAATCTTTCAGGGTCCTGTCACTCAGCAATTTCTTCTTGAATAAGCCTCCCAGGGCTATGATACTAATAATGTAAGATAAATACAAATAGAAAAAAAATTACTCTTGGAAACAAGGGAAGAGACACTCTCTACAATCTACTCCCTTTTATTAAATATTTACTTCATATTCTATCACTTGTTAATGTAAGTTCCTTCTTAGTCTCTTTGAAATGTATGTAAACCTTTTTAAGAGCTAAACAAGCCTCCTGTCAGTTTTAAGATTCAGGAATTACTTTCTCAAGGACCCGGGGATGATCTTTTGGAAATGGAATCTTTAAGGAAGATGGTACTACCACTCTCTGTGCCTTGGTAAGAGACTAACTTCAGTGGGAACCTTACCTTATGTTGCAAAGCATCTTGTGTCATAAAGATATAAGAAGTTTGTTTGTTCTCTGGATAAAGCTAATTAGCTAACACACATGGTCATCACAATTGCCAGGTAAATCTAGGATGAACTATGTTTGACAAATAGTGCTGTCCTTTTTGCTTTAGGACTAGCTAGAGTTTATCTTAAAAACATGGATGTAATAGGTTCTATCTGCTTGGCTATATAAAAAGGTGAGATTTTTTTCTTGTATTTGCAATCCCATAGGGATCTGTCTGTGATGTGTATCACATTCTGGCTTAATGATTATTCAGCAATAATGTGTTTTCTTTCTCTACTGCCATTGTGGAGAGGTTTTCTGGGTTTCAAAGACATTTTATATTTAATTACATTTTCCACAAATTTCATAGACTGTAGATCCTGAGCCAGGGATGAGATGGGGAGTGGGCAGTATCTGCTTGAGGCTGATAAAAGGAGGATCTGAAAGATATTTATAAGAAAAAAATATATCAAGTTGGAAAGATTATAAGAGCATAAATTTGAAGGTGAAGATACTGGGTTCAGGCTTTGAGAAACAAATCAGAGATATAACAATGAGTTTCAAATCTTGATTTAAAGATGAAATACAGATTTCCTAATGTGCTGTTATATGGGCAACCATTACTTAGCTCTGACCAAGAGTGTTAACATTGTTCAGACGTTGTTGGGGCTTTGCTGGCATCCTGCACCTGAATACATTGAAAAAAGCAAAATGCTTTGTTTTTCTCCCCCTGAAATAAAGACTTTTAAGCACATTTATTGTTCAGAACACCTGTGTTCCAGGCATCTATTTAAGGCATTCTAAATTCTAAGGAAATTTCTCCAAATCATATCTTAATCAGCAAAAGGGTGACAGAATCTAGCAAAGTCTAGGAAGATCAACAAGGACAGAAATGAAAAAACAGCTCAAAGAATAAATATAATTTGTGGTCTAAGAGCAGAAGGAATTTGTTATACTATCTTTATGCTCCTTGCTACAAAAGTAGGCATGGGCTCCCAGGTGTATTTCTGATCGTCTGTGTGTGTGTGTGTGTGTGTGTGTGTGTGTGTGTGTGTGTGTGTGAGGGGAGAGAGAGAGAGAGAGAAAGAGAGTGAGAGCTTGTTTCTTTTTTCAGCCAGTAAGAAATTAAGCTATAGTAGAACTCATTTATAATACAGCTGGCAACAGTGATTTCTTGAGATTTACAATCAAATGTGCAACAGATGTAATTTAAATGGAAGAGTTAATATTATTTGTATGTGTGTGTGTTGTGTTTATATGCGTATGTAGTATTTATTTTTTTATAAGTCAAATATGGCAAACTTGCATTTAATTCAAGCTCATGTCAGTTATTTATATATGCCCTACATACTGAAGAAACAAGTCTTGATTCTTATTTCTGACATCTCACTAAATAAAAAATAATTTAGAGGATTTCTAATGAATTTGATTTTCTCATAATGTGAATATCTTGTATGTATGTTTATCTTATTTTGTGCAAATATGACATAATGAAGCTTTATTTTTTTGTAATTTATACCATGGTTAATCATAGCTGAAAGGCCAAACTTAAATTTAACACAGTGCTTTAAAATGAAATGCCTTTCCAAATGAGTTAATGTTCATCGTTACTAATTGCACTTTGAAGGGCTTTTACCCAAAACTACTTGTATGATACTGCAGAAATAGTTGATGTCAGTAAATGGCATTTTAACATATAAATTTGTTGCTATAATAGCAAATCATTTACTTAGAGGAATATAAAAGTTTTGAGAAAGTAACTTCCTATCAATAAATGTAACTTTTGCACATACATTTCTATCTTACTAAAAAAAAATTTTGCTAAGTTTTTTTTAAGTAGTTGACCTCTTTAGTTTGATATATGAACATTTTTCAAATGTGGGATTATTTATTAGCAAGCAGCTGTGTATCTGAAACACTTTAATTATATAAATAATGCAGATGATGGTCATATTTCAGTTAAATGTCAGTTTTTCATTAGACAATGTATCTACTCATTGTGAGAAAGATTCCATAATGAAGAAAACAATGCTATTTGTGAAACGTTGCTTTGGTTATTCTGGAATATGTTAAAAACATGTAGCACACAATTTTGCAGGCACTTACTACTCATTCATATACTAATTTATTTTCTTTATGAAAATAATAAATGGATTTTTTGTAGAAGAAAAGCACAGCCTTGGGTGGATGGCTACATGCTCCTTTTGCCATCAGTTCCCTGCACAGACCCTGCTCGTAGAAGGCAGAAGCCCCCCCAGCCAATAGCAGCACTCTCAGTATGGGACAATGCTGTGTGTTGTTTTACTCCTCTATGATATGTTAAGGAAAGCAAGTTCAGAAAAATAGAAACTATACTAACTTTTAAACAAAGATATTTTAATATAGGTAATTGATTAAACATATGAAGGAATAAAAGGTACAAGGAACACTAAAGTAGCGTGGGTCACCCAAGAGCTGAAAGAAGCAAGGGAACAAGGGGAAGAAGTCAGCATTACTAGAATATAGATGCTTAGAGAAAGGGCCTTTGTGAGCCTATGTCTGGGGCCCAGACCTCTGGTGAGAGGATGCTGGCTAGTGCTGGTACTGCTAAGTGGTATGAGGGTGAGGGATCAGATAGTTCTATTAAAGCAGGCACGATCTAGAGCTTGGAACCAATGGCCACTTCCAAGGTCAACTGTCTTTGCAATGGCAACACTGACAAAAAACGTAAAGTGAAAAAGAAAGGGGAACACCTTTTTCTCCTCCTTTTCTCTTCCAGTCAGCATCTACTGCATCCTATTTCAGATGCTGACAGACAGCCACAAGACAAAGGGGAAATTAGCCTCCAAGGTTCCGGCTCACCATCCCAAGCAGAATTTAAAAGGGTATGTTCAGAGGTGAGAAGCATTAGGCTCAATATCTGCACACTTTCCTTGCATGAGATTCGATCACCAGAGGGAATTCCGTGCTGCAGTCTCAGTGTTACAGTTTTTCTGAAACTGGAAAAAAATTCAAACTGGGCTCTCCAAGTCCCAACCAATGTCTTGGGCTGTGGGCGGTCTTTTGGCTAAATTGGAATATCCAGATCCAGATGGATGAGAAGCTGTGTCTGATGGTGAAGGGAATTCTAAAGCAGAGTTGAATGCACCATAACAGGGTATGGCAGCCACTGGGGCAAAGGTCAGCAACAGGCTGACAGCCATCAAAATACCAGGACTGACTCCACCCAATAACCCCAATGAGTTTAGAAGCAAATTCATTCTTATACCTTACACAAAAAAGCAGCCCTGTGGAACCTTGATCTTTTAAGACCTGGAACAGAAAAAGTAGGTAAAACACGGTGTCCAGAATTCTGCCCACAAAATCTATGACAGGGGTGTCCAATCTTTTGGCTTCCCTCGGCCACATTAGAAGAAGGAGAATTGTCTTAGGCCAGATATACACTAACACTGATGATAGCTGATGAGCTAAAATACTTTAAAAAAAAAAAAAACTCATAGTATTTCAAGAAAGTTTATGAATTTGTGTTGAGATGTTCAAAGCCATCTTGGGCCACATGCAGCTTGCAGGCTGCAGGTTGGACAAACTTAATCTGTGAGATAATGAACATGTTTTAAGCCATTAAGTTTGAGGTGATTTTTAGGGTAAGCAATAGAATATGACTGCAGAGAGCAACCAAGGATAGTATGTTTACTTAAATCTTGAATCCCTGGCTTCTTCTCACCACTTTGAAGAAGTTTCAAGTTCTAAGAAGAGAAAGAGAAACCTCTAGTGTAGCTAACAGTAGAGTGGACACCTTGGAATTACAATTTGAGATGTCCCTTCGTAACAGCTGAATGAGTCCCACTCTTTCTCTATTTTCATTGTGGAGCATTCCCTTACCCAACAGTGAGACCACGTGAGCAAAATGAAGACTAGTGACCAAGTCTGTTTTCTTGCCACCCTTAATGGGACTCTTGACTCTACTGTCCAACTTATGTACACTGCAAAAACAAACAAAAAGGAGGCTGGGGTTTGCCAGGTAACTGTGGGCTTGCTTGGAATTGAAGATTTGGATAGCTATTATCTTTAGAGCTAAGGACGGTCTTAATAAAAAAAAAAAAAAAAGTTCCCCTTTCAGTATTTTGAAAGGTCATTATTTTTGGCCAAGAGACAGCTGTCAAAATTATTTTAAATATTCCTGGGTTCTTTAATTAAATTGTGATTCATGGTCATTGAATAAATGTTACACTGAATATGGATATTTTATGTTCAAACACCGAGTGTAAGCAAGCTAGTTAGACACATCCATGAACTCTTACTGATGAGTTCTATCACTATATTTGTAGCTCATTGCCAGGTACCTGCTGTACTTACAAAACTTGTCAAGATTATACAGTTGAAACAATATCCCATAATAACAGAAGAAAAACTACTTGTTCTTCTCAAAAATATTTCATGAAGGCAGGAGCTCTTTGGGATGCTATTCCATTAACATTGAACATCACTGATGCTTGGATCCCTTCTGTGGAATATCAAAGCTAAAATGAAAAATTAGCTCCCACTTCACAGGCAACAGCTGATGTTATCACTGTGACTAAACAGACTGCTGCCATGACTGGTAGCTGGTATGAAGCTTTGGACATTCAACACTTTGTAATTTTTTATGACTGTTCTTCCAAAAAAAGGCCAGGATCAATTTGCTTCCATGTGGCAAAGCTTGCCGTACATCTGTGCACTCCTTTTACAAGGTATGTGAATTATTCTGCATTATTTTATCAAAGGGTCAGACAAGTTTTAGCACAGTATGAGCTACTGGTATGTGCTAAAATATATCTTTTCATTTAAGACATTCTGATGGTGCCTCCCAATGAGGAAACTGTTCATGCTGGAGTGATTTAAAGTTGCCTGGGCCTTGAGTGAGAATACAGTTTAGAGCCCTGATATTCCAATGTCCTCTATTGTAAAGTGAAAATGGCGTATCCTGTTAAGGCCAGCAGAGGCCCTCAAATCCTTAGCCAATTCCAAGAAAGAGGTGCGAGGAACAGACCCATGATCAACAGAATCAGTACCACTCACTGTATTATCTGTACCACTGGTATAAGAGGATCTCAGCTATAAAACTTGTCACCAGATAAGACAGCGTGATTTGCTGATGAAACAATCCACTTCCAGCATGGAATATCTAGTGGAATGCTACAGCAATCCCCCATAAAAACAATAAACAGCTGATTGTGTGTAGTATCAGATATTCTTTATAAGGGGCTTAATTTCAGGTCCTGCTCTGGGATATGAAGTATGAAGAGATTGATTGAAATGTATCTTCATCTAGACTCATGGGTAGTTACTAATAATGTCTTAGCTCTATGATGAGGCCACTAGGACACCAAGGTATAGATAACAAAATATGTAGTGATGTAATGTATGTTTAACTTATAGACTCTCATATATATATAAGAATAATATATATAAAAATATATTTCACATGTACCATCAGTCAGAAAGCAACCATTTAAAGAACACCCTCTAGATTGAATAAGTATGTGTACTCAATTCTATTATAGCTTGGTGGGTTTATGCTCAAAATATTACAGCAAAGAAATTATCACAAAGAACTACAAAGTCTATCCTATTTGCAACCTATCCCAGCCTCGGTGAGGAAGAATTCTGTAAGAACTGTTTTCAACTACTTATAAGTTACAGACCATCATTCTCATTCTACCTAAGCTTAATTGCTGTGTGTTAGGGATGTAAAATCAGAAAGTCTTTGGAAAATAAAGTGTATCTTTCATTTTATTCCTTTGTAGTTTGTAACTTTATCCCTGATATTCTCACCTTAATATCTTGGTTCCTAAAAGAATCAGTACTTTTCCATAATAGCTGGGAAAAAAACAAACAAACAGAAACCCAGATTTGCTCCTTAATGCCCTGGTCATATTTTTCTCCATCACGGAGCTACCTTCATTATACTCTCTAGCAGCCCCCAACCTGTGTGCCCACCAAAGGAAGTATAAATACTGGATAGATTTGGATGTTGTCTTGAATACAAGTGTGGGTGAGACTCTTTGTGCCTCTAGGACTTGTTTTCCTCTACAGATGGCAGGGACTCTGCTGTTTCCCTGTTGGACCTGAACACTTATTTTCTGAAGATTGCTAAAAATCCAGAAATCATTACTGACACTTCTTTTCATTGTCTCTGGTGTCAACACCACAACTTTTCTGAGTGATGAAAGCCTGATATACACAGGCTTTCATCATGAAGCACAGATGATTATGAAGCCCAATGAGTTATCTCAAACTTATGGGACACTGTATAGGAATTTTCTGATCAGATAGCCTAGGTCTTTATTGCTAAGCACAGCAAATATTACTCTTTGTCCAGGTTGTACTGACCCTGAACTCTTGAAGGATCTCTAAGAAGGGGAGGATAAAATGTCTAAGTATTATACTACTTTTGAGTCAATACCTTAGCTCAAATTGAGATCTCAGAGAAATATCTGAAGGAGCAGGCAGATAACTCCGAGTGTGCCAATTGGTTTTGGTGTGATAGACTTTATGTTATAAGCTTTGTAATCTTTTGAATTTTGCTGCATCTTCTTTAGCTCTGCAAGCAGGCATTGAAGGCCCAATTAAAGTCTAAATGATTATGATGTTAGACTGGGAACTGTACATCTAATAAGACTCTATGGGCCAGTGATAGAGTGGAGGGAGAAGAGAAAAGCCTTTGGATGAATGGCCCTTCCTGTCCACTTTTCTGTTCCATGTCGTCTGGCACAGTGCTGTTTAGTTGCACTGAACTGGTTCTCAGAGTAATATCCAGACATCTACCTGATATTGGCAAGGTTCATATGAAATCTCCCTGGCAGAGCTCTGTATTTGTTTCCTAGGACTGAGTTTTCTTGTCATGTTCCTTGTTGCAAATAATATAAAGTTACTTTACCCTATTTTGGGATAGCATACACCTATAACAAGCTATGTGAGGGAAGAGTATTCTGTCATGGGATTCTCTTCTTGATAATTTGCTGGACCAACCAGATGTTTAAATGGAAAAACTGTGCAAAGTTAAAGGGGCTTGTGTGTTCTGGTTCAACTCTGCTTCTCCATCATTATCAATAAATCTTTTAACACTTTCTCGTTAAGGGCTTGGGTCACTGTGCACTCTGGATAACAATATGCAGAATCCCTGTGCTTATTGAGGAAGGACATGGCAGTATGTTCTTACCCTTCCATTTAGAGTATGAATCCTTTGAATACTAAAATAGATTTCTATATCTCATATAACCCAGAAATATCCAGGCACATACTATTCACAGAAGATATTCCTGGATTAAAATTCTAAATTCATATCATTTATTTAAAATTTCAAAAATTAGATCTTATCTTTTCAACTTGATCATGTGCCCTTTTAAAGGAGAGGTGTAATTTACATGTTTCTAATATCCTTGAAGTACCTACCTCAACTTTTAAATATAGCGGATAATAAATGTGTGTTGGTTTATAGTTTCACAAATTTACCTGTTTTGGGGGCATAGTCATTGCATGAATAGTCAAATTTTGATAGTTTTATTTTTCTGAGTAATGTATTTATTTGGAGATATATAATATATGTGCATGATCAAAGAAACAGCATATATATTGAAAGTGAAATGTTAGAGTTCTCTCTTATTACTCATTCAGAGTCCCTTTATCCTCCTCTATTATGATTCTTTCTGCATGTATACAGAGATATTCCAGAATAAACTAAATATTCTACCTATTAATATAATTTTTGCCCAATAGCAGCACATAAGATTACTACTCTGCTTTTTTCCCCACTAACTGATATTGATACATTTCCTTCATTCCATAAAAGTATATAAAGTTGCTTCATTTTGTTTTTACTATATGTTTTTAATAGTTACACTCTGTCTCCCAGGCTGGAGTGCAACGGCACAATCTTGGCTCACTGCAACCTCCACCTCCTGGGTTCAAACAATTCTCCTGCCTCAGGCTTCCCAAGTAGCTAGGATTACAGGCATGTGCCAGCACACCCGGCTAATTTTTGTATTTTTACTAGAGACAGGCTTTCACTATGTTGGCCTGGCTGGTCTCGAACCCTTGACCTCAGGTGATCTGCCCGCCTCGGCTTTCCAAAATGCTAGGATTACAGGTGTGAGCCACTGGGCCTGGCTTATTTTGTTAATTTTGCGTGTGTGTATATATGTATAGATACAAGTGAATTAAGTGAATAAAATCCCAACTCCCAACAGACTAGCAATCTTTTTTTTTTTTTTTTTTTTTGAGACAGAGTCTCACTCTGTTACCCAGGCTGGAGTGCAGTGGCGAGATCTCAGTTCACTGCACACTGCAACCTCCGCCTCCCTGGTTCAAGTGATTCTCCTGTCTCAGCCTCCCGAGTAGCTGGGACTACAGGCACATGGCACCAAGCCTGGCTAATTTTTTGTATTTTTAGTAGAGATGAGGTTTCACTGTGTTAGCCAGGATGATCTCAATCTCCTGACCTCGTTATCCACCTGCATCGGCCTCCCAAAGTGCTGGGATTACAGCTGTGAGCCAACACGCCCGGCCCAGACTAGCAATCTTATTAGGAGAGACAGTCACTTAATAAATATATAGTAACAAATATATAACATATTTTATTGTAATAGGTGATATTAAACACTTATTCAGCATCCACAACAAAACCAGAAAGCCAAGGAGATTGTTACAGATAAGGGTAAAAGTAGATATACTGTTTACTAGCAGAGGACTACTGAAGGCCTCATCGAGGTCCAGTAGAGATCTGAAAGGAAGGATCTGCAGTTATCCAGTTGCATTACATCCCAAAGAGTGGGAAAAGAGGGTACAAAGAGATGCAAATGTTCAACTTGCAGCAAGGAGGGGAGAACAACTGGGGTACAATGAAAGAGAAGGTCTGGGAGATCAGGTCTAACAATGTACTGGAATCAGATCAGTTAAGCTTTTTAGGCTGTTTTATTACATTGGTTTTACACTGAGGAATAAGAGAAGTGATAGAGTCATGAGCAGATTGACACGAATGAAATATTTTGACCTGACTTACAAAATAACAGGAACACTATGAGTCTTGTTTTAAAAATAGACAATGTAAGAGTGAGGGCAACAGCAGCAAGAGTAGGTAGGAGAAAATTTCAGAAATCCAGATGAGAAATAGTGTCTGGGTAAGTGATGGTGTCAATAGATACGGAGAACTGATCATAATCTGTTTATATTTTGCAGTCAAAGTCTACAGAAGATAATGATGGACTGGATGTACTATGTGAGACAAAAAAAAAAAAAAGAGTCAATGAAAAGTCCAGGATTTCTGGCTGGAGTAACTGGGAGGATGAGGCTGTAAGGGAGATAATAAGCTCTGTTGGGGTCTCTGGAAGGGCTATTAGTTGCTGATATAAACAAGATATTATGGTGAATACTTAGTGTCAACTTGATGGATTGAAGGATGCAAAGTATTGATCCTGGGTGTGTCTCTGAGGGAGCTGCCAAAGTAGATTAGCATTTGAGTCAGTGGGCTGCGAAAGGCAGACTCATCCCTAAGCTGGGTGGGTTCAATCTAATCACTTGCCAGCACAGCCAGAATATAAAGCAGGTAGAAAAACGTGCAAAGGCTACACTGGCATAGCTGCCCAGCCTGCATCTTTAATACAGGCCTACCTACAATTATAGATAAAATTACAGCTGATCATATTTTGAATTCTATAGTTAAGAGGAAGCAAGTACTATAGATATTAGAGAAGTATTGTTTCCTGAAGATTCAAGTACAAAGATGGCTTACTTTTTATCCTCCCTTCAACATGTCATTTTCACATCTTGGCATTATGCAAGGAAATGCTCATCTTTTCTATCTGAATAATAGCAGTTCTGATTTACTTCCTTAATCTGCCACGGTCTTATAGCACCTGAGATATTTTTAAAAGTTACAGAAAGTATCTGTTCACTTGGAACAATAGACATTGGGCACCGGGGGGTACTAGCATGGGGAGGAGAGTGAGAGTTGAAAATCTATCTGTGGGGTGCTATGCTCACTACGTGGGTGACAGGATCATTCATACAACAAACCTCAACGACTCACAATCCACCCATGTAACAAATATGCACATGCGCTCCCTGAATCTAAAATAAAAGTTGAGAAGAAAAAAAATACACCTGTTTCACATGAAGACTTTTCTTTTTATGAATGTCCGTCAACTAACGTATCTTTTAGGGTGACTA
Source organism: Homo sapiens (assembly GCF_000001405.40). Taxonomy (NCBI): domain Eukaryota; kingdom Metazoa; phylum Chordata; class Mammalia; order Primates; family Hominidae; genus Homo; species Homo sapiens. The sequence goes on from NC_000013.11 coordinate 87,403,478, forward strand.
CATATCAAAAGTCAATTTAATAATTGCCATAAAATTGTCATTACCCAAACTTTTTGACATCATTAATTTTAATTGTCATTACCCAAATGTTTTGACATCATTAATGTTACTCCTTTTATTATTCCTTTTGAAATATTCTGACTTAACTCCCTTGCAGTGACCATGTATTTGCCTAACACATGTACATATGGACATGTGCGTATCCATGCATGCATGCACACACAGACACCTTTTGTTACCCATACCACCCTTCTCCAGTTCTAACATGCTGTTCCTTTGTGATAAGAACCTTGTTCCTTTCTAGCAAATCATACTGTATAATTTCCTATTGCTACTTTAATACATTAATAACTACTTAGAGGCTTAAAACACTTTTTTTATTTTTAACACATATTTATGACCTCACAATATCATAGTTCATAGGTTTGTGTTGGCTCAGCTAGTTTCTCTGCTCAAAGTTTTACAGGCAGAAATCAGTGTCAACAGACTGTGTCATCAAGAGACTCCAGAAAGAATCTGATTCCAAAGTCAGTCCAGTTTTCAAAAAAATCCAGTTCCTTGAGGGAAGAAGACTTACAGTCACCATTTCCTTATTGGCTGTCAGCTGGGGGCTGTCTTCTGCTCTTACAAGCCCCTTTCTAATTCTTACATGTGGTCCCTTTAAACTCAAAATCTGTCCAACGTTCCTGCTCTCTTCTGCTTCCAGCTGGAGAAAGTTGTTTGCTTTTAAGGGTACATGTGATTAGATTGCTCCCGTCTGAATAATATAAACTAATCTCAGGTTCTAAGGTAAGACCAGTGACCTCAGTTGTATTTTCAAAGTCTATTTTGCCACGAGATATAAACATTCAAAGGTTTCAGGGATTAGAGTGTGGAAATCTTTGGGGAACCGTTTTCCCTATCACACATACATGCCTCCATCTACTCATATCTGTTTTCAGACTTATCTTTCACACTTCATGTTTGATTTGCAATTTCTTTACTTTCTTCATCAACATCACTATCATATCCATCCTTAGTAACTTGAGTCTAGCTAATTTTTGAGCCACTGACTTGTAGACATAATTTTCCCTTTCCCAGTTTTCATGTTCTTAGCCTCTTCTCTATTTCCACATTGCTCTACCTTAGAAATTGTATTGACAATGGAAGGTCCTATTTCAACTTAGTAAATCTTGTGTCTTCAAAATACATAGCAAAAATCAGAATCCACATCCTCCTATAACCACCTATGTGTCGAAGGCAGCAGATTTAACTCCGTCTTTGATTTATTTATGAGAAACCGTGTTGTAAATGCTTTCTAACTATGTACACTATACTGCCATCATTTTAAGTTAGTAATCCTGCAGATAGCTCTTTGACAAACATTTCCATTAAATTGGATAACATAATTATAATCAGTCTTTACCCAACTGTAAATCAAATAAATTCATTTTTATTTTACTGCTTTATGAAGGTGATTTACAGAAACTTGCAGAATGCGGCACCAGATCCGCAGGACTTAGAGCCTGAGGATTGTATAACTGGGTTGTTCTTTAGAGTATAGGAGACCTTGAGGCAAATAGTGGTTACCTCCAAGCTATTATTAAGGCTTCCCACAGAGGTCACTGTGAGAACTATATCAGAAATACTCATTAAGAACAATGTACAACCTAACAATTACTAAGACCGTTTTCAATATCTACATCATCCCATTGTGAGAAACCCTAAATCCAAATTCTCTGCAGCTTGAATATATTAAAATAGAAATGAATATTTTTTCAGTTACCATAACCTATACTTTAAACTTTAGTCAATAAAAAAAGTAACATGAACATGGTATAACCACTTTACTATATATATAACTATATATTACATATATAGTTATATATATATATGTATTTTTAAAAAAATTATTATACTTTAAGTTCTGGGATACATGTGCAGAACGTGCAGGATTTTTACATTGATATACACGTGCCATGGTGGTTTGCTGCACCCATCAACCCATCATCTACATTAGGTATTTCTCCTAATGCTATCCATCACCTAGTCCCCCCTGACAGGCCCCAGTGTGTAATGTTCCCTTCCCTGTGTCCATGTGTTCTCATTGTTCAGCTCCCACTTATGAGTGAGAAGATGCAGTGTTTGGTTTTCTGTTCTTGTGTTAGTTTGCTGAGAATGATGGTTTCCAGCTTCATCCATGTCCCTGCAAAGGACATAAACTCATCCTTTTTTATGGCTGCATAGTATTCCATGGTGTATATGTATCACATTTTATTTATACTATTTGATCCAGCAATCTCATTACTGGGTATATACCCAAAGGATTATAAATCATTCTACTATAAAGACACATGCACACATATGTTTATTGCAGCACTGTTTACAATAGCAAAGACTTGGAACCAACCCAAATGCCCATCAATAATAGACTGAATATAACCATTTTTAATATTTTGATTAGTGCATATATTTTTATATATAAAGATATTATGTGTATGTCTATATGTGTATGCATATAAGTATTTGTGCATCTATATGTATAGATTTATATACATATATATGTACATGTACATATATATCTATATATTATATATAACTAAACATACATGCAAACCTATAACACACATATTTTATTTCAAATCAGCATGGCATATATATGTGTTTTTATATTTTTAAGATCGTTTGTCATGACATTTTTAGTAATAAATACAGTTAAATTGCCGTACTTAAGAGGTGAATCTTTACTTTGTAGAAATGAAATATTGAAGGAAAGGAATATGCATATTTTTAAGCTATAAGTGTATTTCTACAATATTTTTGATGTTCTCATTCTAGGACCTGAGAAAAGAAGACAATTTCAGTTTGTTTAGTAATGATAATATGTACAAGATGGAAAGTGCAACATATTTCTAAATATTTCTAAATGAACTGGACTGTTATGACTGTAAGAATGCCAATGTCCTTAGTGTGGTTAAATATCATCTTATCACACTTCTCAATAATGATTACGCACTTAGTTTTATTTAGTAGATCTTCTGACTAAAGTGATCAATAGAAGTACTTGATTTTAAAAATATTTTATTTGAAACATTATGCTCATAAAAGAAGAAGTTATGATGTCAAAATGTACAGAAAGAGGAAGTAAAGGAAACTTAGTAAAAGACCTGTCACTAAAAAATTACCTTCAGGGTCTTTAATTTCAAATTCATATTCTCTCTCTCTCTCTCTCTCTCTCCCCCTCTCTTCCTCCCCCCTGCCATATTATCTGAGGATTAGGATAAGAATTATATTAAATCTAGCCAAATCCTTTTTTTTTTAACTCCTTAGCTGCCACTTTTTGAATCTTTAATAGCAGTATACTCTGACATCTCTTTGTTTCTGGATATGAAAGTTTCTACAAATTTAAATCAATAACATAAAAGTTGGTAGTCACGGATGAACATTATGTAATCCAGCTTCAGTTTAACCCTGGAAACCAGGAACTCTGATCCACAAAGTTCTAATATGAACCACTGATGTGATAGATAGTTGAGAATTAAGGCCTGTTTCTGATAGAAGAGGAGGAAAGAAATACACCTAAGTGGCAAATGCTTCATTATAAACAAGGGTCCTTCTAGGTTCTTGGGTGAGACTGAACTTCACTATTTATTGTTCCCAGTTGGTATGATTCTATTGTAGCCAGGCCATATTATAAAAGATGTCTGTATTAGTTTTCTGTTGAATATATAACAAATTACTACAAGCCTGGTGACTGAACACATATTTATTATCTGTCTTAGATTTCTAAAAGTCTGAAATACAAAATTGATCAGCAGAGTTGTGTTCCTTCAAAGATCTCAAGAAAGAGTCTGTTTCCTGGCCTTTTCCAGTGTCTACAGACTACCTGCATTCATTGGCTCATGGCCCATGCCTTAAATTTTCAAAGCCAAAACCAGCACCATGGTATCTTCATCTCTCTCTCTCTTTCTCTCTCTCTGTCTCTCTTTCACACACACACACACACACACACACACACTTACTCAACTGTCCTTCCATTCTCATGCTTCTATCTCTGTCTCTGACTCTCCTGTAATCTTGGTCGTTGCATTAGGCCAACGCAGGTGGTTCAGAATGACCTTCTCATCTCAAAACCCTTAGCTTAATCATTAATCACAATCTGTAATGTCTCTTTTGGGAATGTGAAGTAAAATATTCATAGGTTCTAGGGATACAGATGCAGATATATTTAGGGGGACACTATTCCCTCTAAACAAGAATGTTAAATAAAGATGCTTGACATTATATGGCATAATGAGTAATAACCCAGTTTCTAGACTCAAAGTTCTTGGTTTAAATCCTACTACTGTCATTTAATAGCCATTTTACCTTCTGTTATATATAAACTATCTGGGCCTCAATTTTTATTACATTATCATTTCTTATATTTAGTAAAATAATTTCAAAACCATAGTACAGTACCTGACTCATAGTCAATTATCATTATTATTAACCAAAAACTGAAAAAAATAGCCTGAATTTTAGAATGCTTCATTCATATCACTTACATGAATATCTTGAAAGGGATAAAAAATCCTTCAAGCATCATTTCCCATGAAATCACCACCAATTATTTGGTGAATATAATTTCATAGCTTTTATTTTTAATTTTTTAAAGTAAAATTGTACATGCATATAGCTTAGAGAATCAAATCATTCTTTAAGGTTTATCATAAAAAGCAGCAATCCCCTGGCTTCATCAACCACCTTCATCTTTTTACTCTCCAGAGGCAACCTCTTTCAACTCTTTGAAGCAGTTTCAAAGGAAAACTGTTCCTTTGGCATTTGTTTATGTTTCTATACAACATGCTTATACTGCTCTTTCTTGATTTTTTAGTTTTAGGCTTTCCGTCTCACCATGGAAATGAAGAAAAAGCTGTCTTCGATTTTCTACACTCTTAATACCAACCACACCTACACTTCCTGTTTCCGCTCCTTTTATATGGTTGTATTATAATATTCATTGGATTAATTGTATGTTTTCTCTTAACTTTGTGCTAAATTATATTTTATATATAGGTGATCATGTATTTTAGCATTTACTCAAGCCCAGGTTTGAGAATAAAAGTAAGTATTATTAAAGTTAGTACTAAGAAAAGAGGTAAAAATCATAATTTTTGGTCACTTTAATTAAATTTAAACTGGAGTAATAATAAATAATGTCATTCATTTAAGTAATACTGATTTTCACTGCATACTAATGCATCTTAAGAAAAAAATACACTGTAGATTTATCTTACAATGGCCATATATATAAATAATTTTATTTTTGTCATGATTTCCAACGTAAAATGAATGCAACCTTAATTCAAAATCCTATTCCTTCACCGTATTTTTTATTCCACTTATTGTCATGGAGCTCTTGTCACTTTTTATCTTGTGTATAATTATCTTTGAATTTATTTTTAATTTTAAATTTATTTAAATGTATTAAATTTTGAAGTTATTTTTATATATAAATGTACAGTAGTATCTCCATATCACTATACTATATTGAATAATACATGAAGTCATTGATCTTTTCAAGAAATTCTAAAAGCCTGTTTCAATACAGTATTGAGTATTGTAGAAATAAGTATATTCTGAATCTCAAATGGTTATCAGTTTTTTATTCATATTACTGTAGCCAAATTGAAGATACCAAAAATATCCTAGGAATTCCAAAGCAAAATGCATATTTTTTGCAAACTGTATAGATTACAGTTTTGTGACAACTGTAATCTATACACATGTAGACTTCATCAAATTTTGTAACAAGATATAGAAAATGTCTTAGTCTAAACACAGTACATGTAATTTACATGAAGGAAATGTACCTTTAACAATTTAACACACAGGGAATATAGATGTTAATTATTGAACACCTTCCAAGACAAACATTCCTTAATTATTCTCTTCTTAAAACTTGCATGTCATAGATAAAAACATAGTCAAATTTGAGTATACACATGGAACACAGAATTTGTAAATTGTAATTAAAACATTTTAACAATAAAAATCAATCTAAATATTTTTTCTTGAAAATATATTTGGCTATTACTGGGCTGGATTTTTTAATGGACTTAACAAACTTAAATACAAATATTATACTGAACAGTTTTTGATTAAAACATAACTATTTATATCTCTGACAGGTAGACTCTGAGCTTTCTAAAGGCCAAAATTTAAGAAAGTTTAGTGCTTTAGGACTTTTGTGTCCTTTATGTTCTTCTGCTAAGCAAGCACAATACTTGACTTAGAAAATTTTTGTATGTAATAAACAAATGAATGTTAGCTATCTACAGTTTACTCTACTTAAGAAAATCTTAGGCTATGCTGTTTCTGTGACAATAAACTAAGCCAGAGCTTTGTGATTTGGGCCTACATATCCAGCAAAAATAGAATTTTGAATTGAATCTAAATGCTCTCTTGGAAAGATGTGAGAAATGTAATCTGCTTAGGTGTTGAGATTCAAATCTGCATGTGATAAGGCATTTTAAAAATTTACATATAAGATCCCCAAATAAATCTGCCATTACACTATCATTCCCAATATAGAAAGCCGATGAACAAGCACATTTTTTATATGATATCTTCTATAAATTTAAAAATGGCAGTTACATATCAAGATTTGTTTCCTTCGTCAAGATTATCTAGTAAGCAAATGTGTTGTTTTATTGAGCTGCAAATCAATAAAATAGAGTTAAAGATGATAGATTTAATTAGCATTTAGTCCAACTGTAGATGCTTTATAATAGATGAAATAACTTTTTAATATTTGTATCTTTTATTTATATCCTTCAAAATTTATTTTTATCTTTTGAATTCACATCTTTTATTTAGTTGTTTTTTATTTAAACATGATAGACCTAGTTATTAAAACATCAATTCTATTTTTAAGAAATGTTACTAAACATAGTTTTCAGTTTATAGTATTTTTCTGTCATTTGTCTCTTTGCTTTAATATGTTTATCTACCTCTAAAAAGATTTTCAAAAACCTATATTTTTTCTCCTTCGTTATTTGTTGCCTGCAATCTTACTTGATCAACATCTTTATCTGTACTTTCTTTTACACTAATATTTGCCAATGATAGTTATCTATAACTCAAAATACATCCAGATTCTAAGAATTCTTATCACTTTCGCTGCTGTGTTACTGTTCAAGCCACCATCATCTCTCATCTACACTATTGTGAATGCCTTCTTACTGCTCTTCCTCCTTTTATCCTTGTTCCTCCCACCAATTGTCTACAAAAAAATCAAAGGTAATTGTTTTCAAATATCACAATGAAATACTTGTTCACCCAAAACATCCAATGACTACTCCCCTCACTTAAAAGAGAATCAGAAAGCCAGGTGCAGTAGCTCATGCCTATAATCCCAGCACTTTGGGAGACTGAGGCCGGCAGATCACCTGAGGTCAGGAGTTCAAGACCAGCCTGGCCAACATGGTGAAACATGGTCTCTACTAAAACTATAAAAATTATCTGGGCATGGTGTTGCACGCCTGTAATCTCAGCTACTCAGGAGGCTGAGGCAGGAGAATCACCTGAACCCAGGAGTCGGAGGTTGCAGTGAGCTGAGATTGCACCACTGCACTCCAGCCTGAGCGACAGAGTGAGCCTCCTTCTCAAATTAATTAATTAATTAATTAATTAATTAAATTAAAATAAAAATAAGTAAAAAGAAAAATCAGAAGTCCTTATCGTGACTACAATGGCACAACATGACACAGCTCCACTCTGTTTCTTAGTGTGCTCCTTACCAACCTCGGGTTTCTGTTACTTACCTACTCTCTGCAACTCCTGTTAGCAAACCTAGCAAACAGGATGTTAGCAAACCTAGGCTCTGATCCCCAAATGACTAGCACTTTAAGACCTTTATATAAGAATGAGAACATATGAAATTTAAAGTAGTTTTTCCAATTCTGTGAAGAAAGTCAATGATAGCTTGATGGCATAGCATTGAATCTATAAATTACTTGGGCAGTATCGCCATTTTCACGATGTTGATTCTTTCTATCCATGAGCATGGAATGTTTTTCCATTTGTTCATGTCCTCTCTTATTTCCTTGAGCAGTGGTTTGTAGTTCTTGAAGAAGTCCTTCACATCCCTTGTATGTTGTGTTCCTAGATTTTTATTCTTTTTGTAGCAATTGTGAATGGGAGTTCACTTATGATTTGGCTCTCTGTTTGTCTATTGTTGGTGTATAGAAATGCTTGTGTTTTTTGCACATTGATTTTGTATCCTGAGACTTTGCTGAAGTTGCTTATCAGCTTAAGGAGATTTGGGGCTCAGACAATGGGGCTTTCCCCAATCACATCATCTGCAAACAGGGACTATTTGACCTCCTCTTTTCCTGTTTGAATATCCTTTATTTATTTCTCTTGCCTAACTACCCTGGCCAGAACTTCCAATACTATGTTGAATAGGAGTAGTGAGAGAGGGCATCCCTGTCTTGTCTGGTTTTCAAAGAAAATGCTTCCAGTTTTTGCTCATTCAGTATGATATTGGCTGTGGGTTTGTCATAAATAGCTCTTATTATTTTGAGATGCATTCCATCAATACCAGGTTATTGAGAGTTTTTAGCATGAAGGGCTGTTGAATATATTGAAGGCCTTTTCTGCATCTATTGGGATAATTTTGTGGTTTTTGTCATTGGTTCTGTTTATGTGATGGATTACATTTATTGATTTGCATATGTTGAACCACCCTTGCATCCCAGGGATGAAGCCGACTTGATCATGCTGGATAAGCTTTTTGATGTGCTGTTGGATTTGGTTGGTCAGTATTTTATTGAGGTTCATATGGAACCAAAAGAGAGCCTGTATAGCCAAGACAGTCCTAAGCAAAAAGAATAAAGCTGGAGGCATCATGCTGCCTGACTTCAAACTATACTACAAGACTACAGTAACCAAAACAGCATGGTACTGGTACCAAAACAGATATATAGACCAATGGAACAGAACAGATGCCTAAGAAATAATGCCACACATCTACGACCATCTGATCTCTGACAAATCTGACAAAAACAAGCAATGGGGAAAGGATTCCCTATTTAATAAATGGTGTTGGGAAAACTGGCTAGCCATATGCAGAAAACTGAAACTGGACCCCTTCCTTACACTTGATACAAAAATTAACTCAAGATGAATTAAAGACTTAAACATAAGACCTAAATCCATAAGAACCCTAGAAGAAAACCTAGGCAATACCATTCAGGATATAGACATAGGCAAAAACTTCATGACTAAAACACCAATAGCAATGGCAATAAAAGCCAAAATTGACAAATGGGATCTAATTAAAATAAAGAGCTTCTGCATAGCAAAAGAAACTATCATCAGAGTGAACAGGCAACATACAGAATGGGACAAAATTTTTGCAATCTCTCCATCTGAAAAAGGGCTAATATCGAGAATCTACAAAGAACTTAAACAAATTTACAAGAAAAAAACAAAGAACCCCATCAAAATGTGGGTGAAGGATCTGAACAGGCACTTCTCAAAAGAAGACATTTATGCTGCCAACAAAATTATGAAAAAAAGCTCATCATCACGGGTTATTACAGAAATGCAAATCAAAACCCCAATGAGATACCATCTCACATCAGTTAGAATGGTGATCATTAAAAAGTCAGGAAACAACAGGTGCTGGAGAGGATGTGGAGAAATAGGAACACTTTTACACTGTTGGTGGGAGTGTAAATTAGCTCAACCATTGTGGAAGACAGTGTGGCGATTCCTCAAGGATCTAGAACCAGAAATACCATTTGGCCCAGTAATGCCATTACTGGGTATATACCCAAAGGATTATAAGTCATTCTACTATAAAGACGCATGCACATGCATGTTTATTGCAGCACTAGTCACAATAGCAAAAACTTGGAACCAACCCAAATGCCCATCAATGATAGACTGGATGAAGAAAATGTGGCACACATACACCATGAAATCCTATGCAGCCATAAAAAAGGATGAGTTCATGTCTCTTCAGGGACATGGATGAATCTGGAAACCATCATTCTCAGCAAACTAACACAGGCAGAGAAAACCAAAAACCAAACACCATATGTTCTCACTCATAAGTGGGAGTTGAACAATGAGAACATATGGACACAAGGAGGGGAATATTATACACTGGGGCCTGTCAGGGGGTAGGGCACTAGGAGAGGGATAGCATTAGGAGAAATATCTAATGTACATGAGGGGTTGATGGGTGCAGCAAACCACCATGACATGTGTATATCTAGGTACCAAACCTGCACGTTCTGCACATGTTTCCCAGAACTTAAAGTATAATAATAATAATAAAAGTATGAGCACGTTAGACTCTCCATAAAGTGAGACAAGTGATGCTGGGTTACAAAATCATCTTCACTGTGTAATTTTGTCCACTGGGCTATGACCACACGATTAAGATCTCTGGTGACATGTGTGTAGCCTCCTGGCGGACCCTCCCTTAAGTGGTCCTCCAAACTCTTCACTCTTCTCTTGGCTGAATCAAATAACAAGGAGAATTTATCACACATTCAGAAATATTACATAAGTCAGAAATTGCCTTCTTTGCTTTGATTCACTGAAACTTGGGGATCAATTTGTTGCTATAACCCTGCCTATGCTTTCATTTGTTTTATTTAATTTTGTTTTGCTTATTATTATTTATCATCTCTATATTTTCCTCCTTAATTTGTTAATTTGGTTAAGTTTTTCTGTTAGTAGTGTAATAGTAGGTCCTTATTTTCTAATCTAAGAGTATCTTTTATAAGAAATCATGCTTAGTTCTAGTTTTCATAAGAATTGTTATAAATGATTATTCAAACTTTTTTATCATTTGATATACACTACTTACTACGTATACTTTTATTTACCTATTCATTTATTCTTGGTGTATTCAATTTGCTGCTATTCATTAGGATTATTTTTAATTTTAGTAATTATTATTCACTTGTTTTTTTTTGAGACAGAGCCTTGCTCTGTCACCCAGACAGGAGTGCAGTGGCACCATCTCGGCTCACTGCAAGCTCCGCCTCCCGGGTTCACGCCATTCTCCTGCCTCAGCCTCCCGAGTAGCTGGGACTACAGGCGCCCGCCACCACGCCTGGCTAATTTTTGTATTTTTAGTTGAGATGGGGTTTCACCGTGGTCTCGATCTCCTGACCTCATGATCCGCCCGCCTCGGCCTCCCAAAGTATTGGGATTACAGACGTGAGCCACCGCGCCCGGCCACATTTTTTATAATTGACAAAATTGTATATAATTATTGTGTAAGCCATGATGTTTGAAGTATATACACATTGTAGAATGGTTAAATCTAGCAAAGTAACAAATACAGTAATTCACATAGTTATCTTTATTTGTGTGTGGAAGCATTTAACATCCGCTGTCTTAAGGTTTTCATGAATACAATATATCATCATTAACTGTAGTCACCATGCTGTACAATAGATCTCTTGAATTTATTCATTCTATCTAACTGTAATTTTGTATTTTACCTATTTTCCAAGAAGGCAATGTTTACTTGCTAGGTATTGCTATATAATATTCTACTAATATTTGAAAACAGAATCCATTTTTGTAAGATACATTGTTTCTTCCTCTACTCTTCTTCTCTATTCATCTCTTTTGGAATGATATCCAATTTAAAACGTGGCCTTAAAATACTTGTACTTCTCTATTACTTCCCTCAACTCATCGATAAGATATTGAATTTATTGTTTGCTGCCTCAAAGTCTTAGGTTTTGCTGAGAAAATGTAGTATTTTTAGGTTAGTCTAGACCAGGGTTTTGTTTTGTTTTGTTTTTTTTCCTTTAAAGAGTCAAATAACAAATAAGTTTTGGGGGTGGATTCAGTCTTCGTCCCATACTCACACCTGACATTATAGTGCTAAAGCAGCCATAAACACTGCAGAAATCAGTGGCATGGTTTTGTTCCAATAAAATATTATTTACAAAACAGGCAGTGGGCTGGAGTAGTTTGCTGACTACTTGAGCAAATTAGTAATACTCGATACTATATCTCTTCATATTCAAAAGTCCTAATTCACAATTTAAATAACATATTCCTTGTTGATCACCTTCCACCAAAATTTAATTCTTTCACAATCCCTCTTTTTGTATCCTGTTCTGTAGGTTTCAATTCTGGAATGTTGTTTGGTTTCTGACATAACTAAATTATTTTCCTCAGTAAGGTAAAGATATAAAATATAATTGGATTTCTGAGGGTATGAAAAAATCTCCATTTTTTTACTCAAATTATGGATAGGCATAGTATGATGGATTTGTTATCCTTTTCTTTACGGATTTCCTTGTGTTATTTTCTAGCTGAAATGTCAAATGCTGGTATTATAATTTTTCTTTTGCAAGTTACTTTTTTCTCTATGGTGGTTAGTAATATTTTGTCTTTAACTTTAGTATTTGATAATTTTATCAATACTTTTTTTCTGATCAATTCTGCACGAAACCAAATCAAATTTTTCAACATGGATCAGGTTTTGTCATGAGAAATTATTTTATATGTTTATAAAATAATTTCTTCTTCCTCATTGTATTTATTTATTCCTTTATTTGTAAATATTTATAAAAATTAAATTTATGAAATAATTTCTTCTTCATTGTATTTATTCCTTTATTTGTAAATATTTATAAAAATTATATTTATGAAAATTTCCTCTTCCTCATTGTATTTATTCATTTATTAATTGTATTATTCCTTTATTAATCTGAGATCATGATGGAAAGATTACATAATTAGCAGATATATACTATAGATCTATATTTTGATGTGTATATGTGCTAATTATGTAATCTTTCCATCATAATCTCAGATTCAACAACTTTTCTCCATACTTTAAGATATGTATCCCATTTGATTTTTATAGCCATCAATAGTCCTCAGAAGTGACCATATTATTCTTTGTTTATATATTATCATTATTATTATTCTAAAAATTTTATTACAGATGCTCCTTCACTTACAAGGAGCTTCCATCTGAATAGATTCATGGTAAGTTAAAAATATTGTAATTGAAAAGTGCATTTTCCACCTACAATATTTTCAATTTAGGATGGGTTTATCTGAATGTAACCCCATCATATATCAAGGAGCATAGTGAATGAATATCATTTTTACACTATCATAAAGTCAAAAAAATTGTAAGTCAAACCATGGTAAATTGCAGACTGTCTGTCTTCCTTGAAGGTTTTTAGATTTTCTTATATGTTATTAATACACATTTTTTTTTGTTCAAAGTATCATCACTCTCATGTATGTTTTAATCAGAAGCCCACTGTTTTTTGAATCTTGCCTCTTAAAATTATTATTCTGTGGTTGCTGAGCAACATTAGGCAGGTTATTTTTATTCAATGAAACCTGTTTCTTGCTCCTTTCAGATCTACCTGTCAAACAGAGGTAAGCCTAACTATGAAAAGAGTTTGCAAAACCTTATAGCAGTTTCCTTAAGCACAAAGATACTTTGGGGATAGTGGAAATTTTCATTTTCTTGATTGTGATGATAGTTTCATGAGTGTACATGTATGTCAAAACCTACTGAACTGTACTCTTTAGGTATGTATCATTTATTGTATTATGCCTGAATAAATATTTTTATAATATATAGTTACAGCAATTTTTCTGCAATTAGTATAGAATGAGAGGACTCAGACCTGAGTAGTAAAACATACGTGTGTGTGTTGGGTATACACATACATGTACCTACATACACACTGCTTCTTTATTTCAACGTCTCAACATTTCTAAAGTCCTGGAAGTAATGAGGTATGGTAGAGAAATGACAAAAGTGCTGTTCAATAACAATGAAGTCAGTACCATTAATATTTAGAATATCAACACCTAAAAGGGCCATAGTAAGCAACAGGGTGATAGATGGATGAAATAAGGGTGTATTTGTGTGTGTGTGTTTCTCTCTGTGTGTGTGTCTATGTGTGTGGGTCTGTGTGTATGTGAGAGTTAGTGTGATGGATTAGTGTTTAGCTTAATTTATGTGATGCTAACTGAAGCATTTGAGAAGCCCTTTCTGATGAGATTCTGCCTGATGATGAGAGGACTTGTTAACTCAGATCATTTGTTCTGGTATCAACATGACCAAGAACCTCTAGCCCCATTCTCAGCACGGTTGTACTCTTCCTGCTTTACCTTTATAATATTTCTCCCCACCTCCTAGTCATATTACTTAAGGTCTTATAATTTTCTTTGTAATGCTTAAGTAACTGAGTTTAATTTCTGCCTTTTTCTTTAGGTTGCATTTGTGTCCCTTAGCTGAGTTGTGTTTTTAACTCACATACTCCAATGTCTTGAACATACTAGTAGACAACTACTCCCATCTTTAAAATAGGAATGATGATACCTACCTTATTAGTCCTCAAAGGATGTTGTATAAAACAGGAATAAAATTATAAGGAAAGGCCATTGTAAAACTCTAAGACAAAATTTAAATGCTTCTAGTAATTTATATAGCTATTACAAAGCGTTGATGTAATATGCATGAGACCAGATTATAAAAGAAAAGACTACTATTTGCATATTGTTAGTACTAATTTATTGACATTAAATATACTTTGCTCAAAGGAATTGACACTTCTAAATGGAATCTCTTTAACAACTGAAGATATTAAATGCATTATTAGGGGAATGACATATAATACATGAAAATTGTATTTTAAGGGTATGTCATGAAGAAAACAATACAAATATATTTTGAAGGGTCACAAATGCTGTTTAAAATCTTGCTTATGCTTTTTGAATATTTCAAAGTCAGCAGAACAGAAAATGTATTTTTAAATTACATTCATTTTCCAGAAACAGGTATTACCTATCATCTTAACTCTCTCTTGCCTGTCAAGACTTGTCGCACTGCTTTTTGACAAGCCAGGCAAAGAGATTTGTCCATAGCTATCAATTTTTATTCCATAAGTATTCACAAAGAAAAAATGTATTTTTCTAAGTGGTCATAGGTCTAATCCCAAATCAAATTACCATTTCCTGCACTACCTACAAAATTTTATGGTTAAAAAAAGGACATGATTTCACCCCCAAGAAAAAAAAATCATGTATCTCTCTGAGTCTTCTTAGTTGAAAATTTAACATTCTATAAGATTTTGTTATCCTATTTACAGGAAAAAAAACTTTTCATTTTAAGATGATAAATTATATAAGAAAAGACAGTGCTGGTAACTTTGCAAGAGATCAGAGAAAGAAAGCTTGTATTTATATTTCTATATTCTGACATAGAGAATGTGGTTATAATCTAGTATTTTCTTTCACATAAGAGAGATAGCTGATCATATTAGTCTTCAACTTTTTAAAAAATTTTGCCTCATATTTTTAAATGTGCCAAAATATTTACTAGATTTCAAAATAAATAAATAAAATATGCTTTCAGTTACTTATATATGAGTGAAGATTAGGATTAAATGGAGGAAAGTTTGTGTGAAACAGACTGTTACAGGACTACAAAGAAAAACGTTTTAAAAAATTTCTACTATGTAAACTCCTTTTTCATTTTACCCAAAGTATGTTCCATTGATCCCTATGTTTTGGGGAAAATATATCTGTATCCATCCACTTATCTCTGACCTATCTCTGCTTCTATGTCTCTATCTGTGGATGAATCCATCTATCTATGAGAGACAGAGCATTTCAATGGTTTTTACTTTTTTTTAAGAAAGGGTCTTGCTCTATTGTCCAGGGTGGAGTGCAGGAGCACATTCATGGCTCATTGCAGCTTCAGCCTCCTGGAATGAGGTGATCCTCACATCTTAACCTCCCAGGTAGCTGGGATTTCAGGTACGTGTCACAAGACCCTGATATATATACACATACGTATATACACACACATATATACGTGTATATATACACACATATATACATGTATACATGTATATATATACATATGTGTGTGTGTGTGTGTGTGTGTGTGTGTGTATATATATATATATATATATATAATTTATTTATTTTTGTAGAGGTGGGGTTTTTCCATGTTGCCCAGACTGGTCTTAAGTGATCTGCCAGCCTCAGCCTCCCAAAGTTCTATGATTACAGGCATGTCTTATTGTGTCTAGGCCAATTTTGTTTTTATTTTTTTTTCTGTACAGAATTCTTTTTTGTTTGTTTCAAGTAACACTTACAGTAGTTATTTAACATACTTTGGGTAACATCACTCTATATTTAATATTTTAAAACTTTTAAACTATGATCTGGCATTTTGATTTTAGTTTATTGGTATGCATCAGATTTTTTCTCCAATTTCTTCCAATGTTGAGAAAATTTAGACTATAAATCCTGAAGAATGGTTTATTAGTCTGTTCTCAATGCTGCTAATAAAAACATAACCAGGACTGGATAATTTATAAAGGAAAGAGGTTTATTTAAATCACAATTCCACAATGGCTGGGGAGGCCTCACAATCCTGGTGGAAAGCGAAGGGGAAGCAAGGCATGCCTTACATGGCAGCAGGCAAAAGAGAGCTTGTATAGGGGAACTCCCATTTATAAAACTATCAGACCTCGTGAGACTTATTCACTACCATGAGAACAGTATAGGGGAAACTGCCCCCATGATTCAATTAAAACTGTCCCCCACCCTTGACACGTGGGGATTATTACAATTCAAGCTGAGATTTGAGTGGACACACAGCCTAACTATATCAAATGGAATAGTTTGAAATAAGTGGTATGATAAGCAAATTAAAAAAAAAAAAACTCCAGCCGATGATTAGAGATGGAAATAATGTGAACTATATATAAATTGTAGTCATGGATTAGCTTGCCAGAAGGCTGGACATTTTTTATATATTATTTTCTATTCATACTTTTGAATTATCTCTCAAATTAATATATGACTATGCATATATGTGTAAGGGTATATGTGTGTGTGTATGCAGACATGGCATATATGTGGGTATATACATATTTATATTGGCTACAAAGAAGCCTATTATACATATTTAAAAGATTTTGAATACAGCCCTTTTAAGCATTTCGTTTTGAACATCTTGAAGCATATCAAAATTCATAATGGGATAATTGCAGAGGAGCCTCCAGAACAAGGTGTATTGGGATGGGAAAGACTCCTAAATATATCCTCACACTATTTTGGCATGTGTATTATAATGCAGATATCCTGACTATGTAGATATGTTGCCTTCACTCTAAAACTGTCTATATGTTATCTGTCTCAAAAGTTCCTTATTGATGAACTATGAGAAAGGAAAATGTGAATAATAAAGTTTATTATACCAAGGTTTTGTGAAGATGCCGCATGCTTAGGATCTCCATAGGCAAGAGTTTGGTGAGGCAAGACTGTCTTATACAAAAGTTTTTCCCTATCCTAGAACAAAAATTAAAAATGAAACAAGCAAATTCTCATGTATTGAAAATTGCCTGTGAATCTGGTACTTGAGGTACCTTGTGTGGGTCACATTGAATAGTCATAGTCATCCCTTAATATTCATGGAAGAATAGTTCAAGGAGCTTCACAAATGTCAAAATTTGTGGATGCTCAAGTTCCTGATATAAAATGATGTAATATTTGCATGTAATATAGGCACAACCTTCCAAATAGTATAAATAATCTCTAGATTACTTATAATACCTAATACAATGTAAGTGCCACATACATAGTTGTTATACTGTATTGTTTAGGGAATAATGACAAGAGGAAAAAGTCCGTACATATTCAGTACAGATGGGATTTTTTAATGAATACTTTTCTATCCAACATTGATTGAATCCATTGATGTGGAACCCATGAATATGGAAGAGCAACCCATGGATATGAAGGACTAAGCACATAAATAAATTGCACACTAAATTAAGTCTCACTTTACAAGATTTTGGGGTCTTCTTTAGCATTAGTGGCTATGAAATAAATTCTTATGAGATGCTCATAATATTGTATCTCTTGAAGAACTTTACTTATATTTTCAACTTCTTTTTTTTTTTTTGCTAATGTGTACCCTAGGTTGAGAGTTATTAAACTTTTATTTAACAACAACAAAACAAAATAAAGGTACTTATTGGCAGATTTTTGAAAGACAGGTTAAAGCACAAGGATAGCAATATAATTGGGAATTTGGTGTACCCTATCATTTGCTTTCCTTTTTAAAATCTTCCTTGGCATTCTCAGTTTTTTTGTTTTGTTTATTTAAAAAGAATATTGGTGATTTTTATACCTAATATTATGGGACTTGTACATCACATTGCACGGATTTCTTATGCCTAACATCACAGCCTATCCCTGACTGAATTAGTAAATGCATTTTCCATATGAATTTACAACTTATGTAGTAATTATCACATTTGCCAATGTTTGTCCTTGTTTACACATGAATGTTAGCTAAAACACTTTCGATTATTGCCAACATTAACCCATTAAAGATGTATTTGATTCTCAACAGTCAAAATAGAATTTGAGTTTCAAGGCATTTTCGAAATCTTCTAATCCACTGATATTCTATATCACCATATCCTAAAGCTTGTGTATTTTAGACAGATAAGCTCCAATTTAGGTAGCCATTGGGAAAACTTTTTTTGTGTGTTTCTATGGCTAAAAAAATGGGAATAAGCCTTTGTTTTCTTCTGATTTTCTTATTTCACTGTGGAGAATCTTGAAGACCCCAGAACTCAGTAAATCTTTGTCCATTGTCTCATTCATGGTCACTTGGTAGCAGACATCTTGCCTCAATGTTTGGGCACAAAAATAGTAAAATAAAAATTGTTAATATTCTCACATAGAGCTAATTGAATATTGACATATTGCATAGCACTCAGCAAAGAGATACATTTATTTTTTAAAGAAATGGGTATTCTATTTCCTTTTTTAATGTATGAAACAAAACCATTGATGTGCATTATTGTTGCTAACAGCCAAAGTATATGTTTATTGACTCATTTTTTCACTTCACTATATGAAATTAAATTGAAAATTTACAGCATTCAAGTGTACTTTATGTGCAGAGCAATACCCAGGGATCAGTGTTTACAAATTAAGAGATGGTCCTTAAATATTTGTACAATGTAAAATGCCCGTTGGCTGTAAAATGATGTTTTGAAAATAAAGTATAAGATCAAGACCTGAACCAGTAGTAAGAATTGTGTAATTGTAACTATGATTTCCTTGTAATTTTGCTAACTAATTTTCTAATTTTGCTAACTACATACTTCATTGACTTTATACATCCACATGACATCATTTTTCTTAAAATTCTGAGGCATTGTGTGTGTGTGCACATGCATGCAGCATAATTGCCACAAAAGAAGCTACCAAGTATCCAAGCATATTTAAAAGATTTTGTATAAAGCACTTTTAAACATAAATCAAAATATGTGGCTGTCATGACTGGTTATTACAACACAAATCATGTGTTGGCCTATAGCTGTTGAAATCCCTAGCTGCTGAATGTCCTAGAAATTAAATTATATTTTTCTTTTTCTGCACTCTATGGAATTTGAGGCCGATCTCTGAGGTTAAATCACTTTTTTGACCTCAAAGATCTTTCAAGAAGTATTCATAAGAAGCTGTCTCTGGAGCCTTCCACTTTAAGGCAACAAATGATATGAACTGTGTAGCTAGTAAAAAAAAAAAAAAAACAAGTAAAGGTTTAGCTAATAGAATCTAATGTCATGTGAATGAGATTTTCTTTTGCCACACAGTTGTTTTTCATTTTCATTATTTATAGCAATTATTATACCAAAATCACATAATAATAATATTCCATAACATATTAATACCTTCAAAAGATGTATGATTTTACTTAAGGTAATAAGCATAGTTATTAGGGGAAACATCTCTCTCCCACAAATGATTTTTATGAAAAGAGATTTTCTTTAAATACAAGTGAGTTTGAGTTGCAACTTTCACTTCCTTAGAAAAAGATGATCTGAGTTCTCTGGTAAGTCAGCAATAGTATTTACATTTCGTAATTGGTCAGAATTATTTAATAATTTATCAAGATTTCTGGATGTAGGGTAAATTTGTTTCTTTATCTTTTGTTTTTCTAGATTGCTGTGAGAAGGAGCCATGTAAGTAAGTGAGTATTTTCTACAATTAATTGTTTTAGTTGAAATTTACAAACACTAGACTGAGAATTTAGTGAATATATTTTTTTCTCATATTAGATGATTTTTACCTTAAAATCAATTTTATCAGTAATGTAGGTGATATTTGGATTCTCTTCATTTTTCTTTCTTACTTATTAATTGAAGTATATTTGAGGAAATGGTTTACTTCCTTTATTATACTTTAAGTTCTGGGATACATGCACAGAACGTGCAGGTTTGTTACATAGATATACACTTGACATGGTGGTTTACTGCACCCATCAACCCATCATCTACGTTAGGTATTTCTCCTAATGCTATCCCTCCCCTAATCCCCCACCCTCCAACAGGCCCCAATGTGTGATGTTCTCCACCGTGTCTGTGTGTTCTCATTGTTCAAACTCCCACTTATGAGTGAGAACACGTGGTGTTTGGTTTTCTATGCCTGTGTTAGTTTGCTGAGAATGATGGTTTCCAGCTTCATCCATGTCCCTGCAAAGGACATGAGCTCATCATTTTTTATGGCTGCATAGTATTCCATGGTGTATACGTGCCACATTTTCTTTATCCAGTGTATCATTGATGGGCATTTGGGTTGGTTCCAAATCTTTGCTATTGTGAATAGCACTGCAATAAACATATGTGTGCTTGTGTCTTTATAGAATGATTGATAATCCTTTAGGCATATACCTGTAATGGGATTGCTGGGTCAAGTGGTATTTCTGGTTCTAGATCCTTGAGGAATCGCCACACTGTCTTCTACAATGGTTGAACTAATTTACACTCCCACAAACAGTGTAAAAGCGTTCCTATTTCATCACATCCTCTCCAGCATCTGTTGTTTCCTGACTTTTTAATGATCACCATTCTAAGTGGCATGAGATGGTATCCCATTGTGGTTCTGATTTGCATTTCTCTAATGACCAGTGATGATGACCTGTTTTACATACATTTTTTGGCCACATAAATGTTTTCTTCTGAGAAGTTTCTGTTCATATGCTTTGCCCACTTTTTGATGGGGTTGTTTTTTTCTTGTAAATTTAAGTGCCTTATAGATTCTGGATATTAGCCCTTTGTCAGATGGACAGATTGCAAAAATTTTGTCCCATTCTGTATGTTGCCTATTCACACTGATGATAGTTTCTTTTGCTGTGCAGAAGCTCTTTAGTTTAATTAGATCCCATTTGTCAATTTTGGCTTTTGTTGTCATTGCTTTTGGCATTGTAATCATGAAATCTTTGCCCATGCCTATGTCCTGAATGAGATTGCCTAGGTTTTCTTCTGAGGTTTTTATGGTTTTAGGTCTTAGATTTAAGTCTTTAATCTGTCTTGAGTTAGTTTTTGTATAACGTGTAAGGAAGGGGTCCAGTTTCAGTTTTCTGCATATGGCTAGCCACTTTTCCCAACACCATTTATCAAATAGGGAATCCTTTCTCCATTGCTTCTTTCTGTCAAGATTGTCAAAGGTCAGATGGTTGTAGATGTGTGACTTTATTTCTGAGGCCTCTAGTCTATTCCATTTACTTCTTATTCACTGGGAATTACTTCCTATTCAATCGCTGCACTTGCCATAATAACACAATGTTTACTTAATTATCCATAAATTGTTTAAAATTTTTTAATTACACAGATCTATTTCCATTTCCCTTTAAGAAAATGGGGTAAAGGGTTTATATTAACTTAGCTCATATTTCTTTACTTTTTAACCAAAGTATAGTAAAAGATGAACATTATTGTTAATTTAAATCTTACACATCTTTCCTTTTTTAAAAAAATACAAAATGGATGTCCTTAATGTACATTTCTATAACAACAAAAATCATGGTAAGGATTAAGGAAAATCTGAGTCATACCTAACATACCATAAAAAATGTAACGTTGGTAAAAGAGACAATGAATAAACTAGAGAAAGCTGTTTGGGATTTAAATGTAATTCAAATTTATAAATGTAATAGAGTATATAATAAGTGTATGCGAACAAATGTGCATTATAATGTTAGAGTAAAAAAATGCTATTATCAAGAATCAGCTGAGAAAGTTGAAAAGCTTCACAAATTCTGTGTATTAACTTAAAGGGAATTCACATGGAATAGCATTGTACTTTTACCAAATGAAGTAAGTCAATTTCCTGAAGATAGTTAGGTGAAATGACTGATAGTGGTCAAAAAAATTTATCTGGTGAGTTATGTATTATTTATTTATTTAGAGACAGAGTCTCACTATGTCTCCCAGGCTGGAGTGTAGTGGTATGATCTGGGCTCACTGCAGCCTCTGCCTCCTGGGTTCAAACAATTCTCCTGCCTCAGCCTCCTGAGTAGCTGGGATTAAAGGCATGGGCTACCACGCCCGGCTAATTTTTGCATTTTTAGTATTTTTAGTTTTTGCATTTTAAGTTTTGTATTTCACCATATTGGCCAGGTTGGTCTTGAACTCCCAACCTCAAGTGATCCGCCCCGCCTCAGCCTCCCAAAGTGCTGTGATTACAGGAACCAGCCACTGTGCTTTGCCAAATTATGTATTTTTAAATTGGTATGAGTAAATCAAAAACTGGATTTGTGTGTATGTTTATGTCTGTCTTTGTGTGTAGTACACTGTAAAATGAGACTATAAAATCTGGATATTTAAAATTAAAAATTAAGGATTCAAATAAAAAGGACAAGCTATATAGTAAGAATAATTTTATAATTCTGATTTTGACTGTCATAAAGCATTACGCTAACAATATTACTACAACTGCTACTTCTACTAAGTAAACCAAGAGATATTAAAATGGGCCTGTTTCTTGATGGTGACATGGTATTTTGTTATCCACCAACACTCAATTGGGGTTATACATTACTTTGTCTATCTGGCCTTCAAAATTATTTATGAACCTAATAATTTTATCTTGGTTCATAATATGTTACTAGAATATAGAATTATATTACTATATTCTCTATTATATTTAATTATATATTCTAATTATATATACTATATTCTACGTATTATATTCTATATTGCTAGAATACAGAATATATTAATAGAATAGAGAAACATCTTAGCATTTCCATCCTATCACAATGATGCTCACTCCCTGAAAGACCTCCTGTGCCCACGAGGCCCCGGTGCATTTTGAAGTTTTTGTTGTGATAATCAATGGTCTGTTTTTGAGGCTGGTGTCAATGTTTAGTTCTTGGGCTGTTATGCAACTCTCAGTTTGGGTTGCTTATGTGGAAAACACAGAAATTTTGGTTTTGGAGATTACAACTCAACAATGCTGTATAATTTATCTTCCATTTGGAGGAATCAAAAATTTCAATGTAAGTGTTTTCTGTATTTTACACCTGAATTGATAGTGACTTAAGGAAACTGAGATGAGACTATGGGGCCATACTTCCTTTGCTCATTATGTAAAGCTAAGGAAGTATTCATTGGTGTTTAGTCATTGCTAAAGCATCCTATTGTTCTGCACAGGTTGATTGTAATCAAAATAGCTTATAATAGGAAAGCACTGACTTAGCAGATAGTTGAACTGCTTTGATTATAGGAAACAATGTCCCTCAGAAAGAAGTTAAAATACATCTGAACTTATATGAAGGAGTGTGATAGAATATTAAAATGGAAGATTGAGCTGAAACAAAAAATGTATTTTGAAATGAATAGATATTATAAAAATATTTCAATACATTTTATTTTCTTTATTAAAACTTCTGAAGCTAGGCTAGGCTGAGTTACAGAATATGGTAACCACTATTTCAGTTTCCCTTGGTTTTGGGCATAGCCAGATGAACAGGTTCTAGTAAATGGGATGAATCAATAACTGGAATTGTGTAGCTTCTGGAAAGTGTTCTTAATGGGAGATAACTTTTTTCTCCTCATTGCTGGATTTTCAGATTCTCACCCTGTAGACTTTTCATATGGTCTGAAGGCCGTTGTGCATTTTGTAGGTGTTATACTAGTGGCCAGTTCCAGATGCAGATACCATTATGATTCCAGCCAATGAGGGTTATACTAGCGGAAGATGGAGTAGAGAGCTGGAAGAAACACAGATCTTTGATAAACCATTGATGTAGACTAGGTACCTTGTGACAAGACATATATCACATATTATGCCCCTACTTCATGTTTCTG
Source organism: Homo sapiens (assembly GCF_000001405.40). NCBI lineage: Eukaryota > Metazoa > Chordata > Mammalia > Primates > Hominidae > Homo > Homo sapiens. The sequence goes on from NC_000013.11 coordinate 87,427,645, forward strand.
GGAGATTGTGGCAGTTTCCTTCCAGCTGGGCTGCCTTTGGAAACCCTATCAGTTTCTCTCTGTCACTGTCTGCCTCTGTTTTTCTCTTACTCTTTTCCTTTCAGAACTCTTCAGTCCTAATACATACTTAGGGTTTTCTTTATTCCTTCTACATTTTCTGAACTCCCCCTTCCCAGATTCTGTGGTTGAGTAAATAATCTGGAATGTTTTGAAACACTTCTCAACAATTATTGCTGCCATTTTATATCCCCCAGAAGGGTTGATTTATTCATTGGAAACTTATTTAATAAGCTAATTTTAGTGAATTTATTATCAGCTGTTATTGGACAACTATACATTAGTTTCTAGATAACATTATAATGCTTAGTCTTTATGTTCATTAAAAATAAAGGTCAGATTATATAGTGTGAACATTTTAGGCCATGGGGCTTATCAGCAGAGACAGTTAAATACCTCTCAAATTTTCACACAAGGCGGCTACATCTTCTGCCCATGTGTATGTCCAGAACGGCTATAAAATAGGTGCAAATTAATTAATAAATTTACAACATAAACTATCTTGCAAACAAACACACACATTGACCTTCACCTCAGGACAGTTATAACTCTATAAGTATTGAATTCTCATACTTCATGTATATACTGTTTACTGTTATTGAGGAAAAAGTCAAAGAGAACTAGTCCTTGTTTTGCAAACTAGATGACAGGAGGAATACTCAGTTTACTGTGACAAAGTAGGCAATTCTAAGATAAATAGCTCCTAGCAATGCTTTGGAAGGGAAATTTTCCTTAGATGGTGGCTCTATAGAAACTCTGTGAACAAACTGTTATATCTTTTACAAATCTGCCAGCTACTTTTTATGAGCTTCAGTTGCTCTTTATGACTATAATAAAAGGAGAGTAGAAGCCATGTGTATATCCAGTGGTCCCCCAAGCAAGCATCCTTATGCAGAAAATATAATGAGATCGTAGGATGTTCTTGCCCTTAAGCTGCTGGATGCTCTCTTAACTCTTGTTTTGACACCATTTTATTGTGCCTATAATAATAAAGTACATGTGAAATACGTTTCACAGATTTCAGTATTGTTAATCTAATAATTGGCAACATAGTATGTCCACTATCAACAAAGAACACACAAATCAATAAGGAAATGAAAATTTTAAATAATTCAAACATTCCATTGATATGCACCTTGTCATTTAGATATGTATTTGTTAACAGTGCAATACAATTATATATTTTAAAATAACTTATACCATTAAGCATACATTTGCTATTATAATTATTAAAGCACAGTTAAAATACCTTGTATATAAAAATATCAACTCATATTTTATAACAGTGATAGATTTGTAAATTTGTACCTTAAATTCTACATCAATGTGTTCTTTCATAATTTTAACCTCTCATAGACTTTTTACTATAGTTTGCCATTAAAAAAGGAGATATAAACAATTTCAAAAAAATATTGTTTCATAGTCACTATATGTCATAACATATTGTTCAAAATGACATGTAAGAACTATGTTGAGTTTTAATTCCAAAAATTGTCATGGTTAGTTTAAAACTTTTATATTTTAGGTACAATGTGTCTTAATTGACTAATATTTGACTAACATTTCTTTGACATCTTGAGAACCCACAGCTACATTGTCTTCTTATGATTTGTTGACCTGTAGAAATTTATGATTTAAATTTTGAACTCTATCAAAATATATTTTAACCTTATTTTTCTTCATTTCAATTTTCTGTTTCTTTATATGTTTCCTTGGTGTTGTTTTTTAAAATCCTAGCAAACATAGTAATATGCATTTTTATGTCACTACAAACTTTTTCTGAATGATGTTCTGGTGTAATGCAAATAAACATGTAAGAATTCAGTGCATCTTAACTCAAAGCTATTTCTTTCTCTTCTGAGGTCAGCACCATGGTGTTTATTTCTCTCTACCTATGTCTTAATTTTTCATAAAATAAAATCTAAGCATAACAATTGATATAAAAGTAACTCTGTAGCATCCTGGTCTCCATTAAACAAATTTTAAATCCACATAGACAGAAAAGTTTTGCCTCCTTGTTCACCTTACCAACATCTATTTACTTCTCCTTTTCTTTCATAGTTTTAAGATTTAATTTTGACATCACTTAACTAAAGTTGTGACCTCATTTTGAGTGCAGTGTCCTGAGAACATTGAGTATTTTCTCTCATTGCTCTTATGTCTACACAATTAGTACTTTCACATTATTGGATACATAAATATTGACTCAACCCATCGATATCACCTTTGCCAAAAATAAACAGCATTTATTTTGCTTTTCTGCCTTTTCACTATCTGTTGATTTTACATAGAAGCCCTCTTCATTCTCTAGTTTTCTTCATCTTACTTGTCATTTGGATCTTATCTCCTCTATCAACGCTTCATCAATGTCCAAGATTTTTCTAACTCTTCATTCTTCTATACTACTACAGTCATTACCGGTTATGCTTTTCATCTGGCAGTTTGAACGTTCTTCATGTTGTTATTAGTGTTGTTAATTGCTTAAAAACGTGTCCTGCATCCTCAACTAGGTTGAATACCCTGAAGAAAGAACTGGCTTTTAACTATGAGTTCACGGTTGATCTGGGAATGTTCTTATGTAGACCTATGAATCTCCTGAAATTATAGATAAGACAATGTATTTATGTACATTTCTATGTATACTTTTTTTTTGCAAAAACACAGTGGCTAGAACTCTATCAATTTAGCAAAGATATTCATGTGTAAAATCCATTGATCTAAAATAATAAAAATCATAGTTTGCACTTTTTTCTTCCATAAGGCATGTAAGTCAAAAGTACTTGAGAAATATTTGTAATTGATTTCACAAACCTTAGGCTCTTAGTTGGAATCCCTGGGGTGATACTCCCTAGAAGTGTACAAAAACCACAGCCAGACAACGACTAACAGACAAATGCAACCAAGCTATAAGTTAGCTCAAATCCATATCGGTCCTCTCTCCTATTGGGTTGTATTACTTATATTATTTTTTAAGAATGATTTTACATATTTTATTTTCTCATGAGATATGTTACACATAGTAATTTTGTAAAATATATATGTATATTATAAGAAATACTTATGAAGAGAATATCCACATAAATACCATGAAGCTCAAGATCTGGATAATTGCCTGCAAAACAGAAGCACCCTGGAAGAACCTCCATATATAAATTTTCTTCTTTACTCCTAGAGATGATATTCTTCCTAAATCTAGATATATTAACATATAAATAAACATTAAGATATGCCATGATTGCCGATGGAAAGATTCCTGTTGGGAAAAATACTATTCATGGGCCGCTCATGTTTCTGCATGTTATTCATTCAGAATCACAAACTCCATTTTTTCCTACTATTTTTTCAAAGTTGTTTGTGATTATATTAATATAATAAACATCCCATGTAAAAAAGATAATATCTCCTTCTCAGGCAAGGGTTAGACAGCCTAATCTTTGCCCAGTATAAAGTATGTGTTCCCCAAGCCAGCATTCTTGAAACTGTGGCAGGCTAACTGGAGAGCTGACACGTAAAATAAAATTTCAGACCCTTCAGAGTTCTTGGCAATTCCACCTTATAAAGATATTAAGTCTCCACAGATTTTTAAGTATATGCAGTATAATTCCAATCATATCATATTTTTGTTGAATGTGACAAATGTATTCATTATATGCATATAAATGTAAAGAGAGTATATTAGGCAGAATATTTCTAAAGAAAAACAAGGTGGAAGGAGATTATCTATAAGCTAGCATAACTTTTTATATAGCTAAAGTGATTAAGAAAATGTGGAATTGGTACAAGCATTTGGAAATCAGATGCTGGAACAGAAAAGAGAGCCACAAAATAGATCTATAGTTATATGGACCCTTGATATATCAGAGATATGTTGTGGTAGATAAATAAGGAAAGAACAGATATTTCAATAAATTGAGATACCACATTGTCATGTCTATATAAAAATAAAATTGAATTCTTATACAATATCATTTCCAAGGATTAATTCCATGCTTCTTTGAGAAAAATATAAAGATTTTAAGCAGTTGATATACCTGAATATTATCATGAACTTCTTTGGATTTGAAAAGAGTTTTTAAACGAGATGAAAAACAAAAATCATAAGGGAAAAGATTTCTAAATATGAATGTGTAATTTTAAACAGGATTCAAGACTGGTATAATTTAAAAAAATGATTATAGCAAGTGTTATTGGTTATACCATGTAGAAATGAAATGTCTTCTACTTTGCTGTAGAGGGTGTACAATGGCACAGTGACTTTGGCAAACAGTTTGGCAACGTTGATGGTCCATGTATGGTATGACCCAGCAATTCCAACTCTAGATAGGTACTCTGAATAATCTTTAGTCTTTGCATATATACATCAAGGTGTCAGAAATGTTTGAGAGATTTGTTTATGAATACTCCAAACTAAAAATGACTCAATGACTATCAGCAGTAGGATGGAAAGTAAACTAGAGTATAGTACGGCAATACTTTTTATAAATGGAACTAAGTGAAATACAGCTACATGCAACATAGATGTATCTCACAACATGTTTAAGAGAAAGAAGCTAGTGCAGGAAAAAGGGGAATGGACAAGTCATCGATATAAACCAAACTTAGTGACAACTAAATGCTATTATATATGTATGAAATATAATTGATCACAGATAAGCTATTAAATTTTTCAGTCAATGGCGAAAGCTTTTAGCTCATGGTCAAATAGAAATGGCATTAGTGTGCATCTTTGTTTCATTCCTGATCTGAGGAAAAATAATATTTCCTGGTGAATATATTTGCTATTGGCTTTTGGAGGTAACTATTTTCAGGTTGTGGAAGTTTCACTCATTTCTGATTTCCTAAGAGCATTTTCCTTATTAATATGTATTGCAGTTAGTCAAAAGCTTTTTCTGCATTTATTGTGACAGACTATTTTTCTTATTCAACATCTCAGATAAATTACGATATTTGATTTTCTAGTGTAAAAATGAATTGAATTTAAACCAAGTAGGCTACAATGTATGTTTTGATCAGTTTGCTAATATCTTGCTTAATATTTCCACTGTGTTCTTGAATTAGTTACCTATAATGACTTTTCCCTGCATTGTCTTCTCAATTATTGGTAAAGAGGTTATGTTATGTTAGCCTCAGAAAATGAATTGTGATATATTTTCTGTTTTGTTTATACTCTGCAACAGTTTATAAGATAGTTCTGTTGCTTTTCCTTTAGCATTATTGAAGTTTGCAGGGGAAATTATATAGGCCTTCAATTTCTTTAGTGGCAAATATTTTTAATATTGCTGTCATTGTATTCATATAATTGTTTTATAGTTAAATCATTATTTGCATCATGAATCATTAAATAGGCAACATTTATATTTTTTATATGGCAAGGGTAAGGAGTTGAATTATTTTATAATTGAATTAATATATAAGAGTTGTAAGGTTTATGTGTTTTCTATTTCATCTATTTGTTATTTAAAGCTAAGTTTTTATTTCATGATAAAAATCATTCATAACATGATAGGTTTTATTTTTGGCAGAATCTGGTGCTAATGGCTGTTTATCATTCTGATTTTGGTTGTATGTCTTCTACCTGATCAGCCTTCCTACACATGTTGTCTTCTACCTGATCAGCCTTCCTACACATGTATCATTTTTGTCACTTGAAACTAACAATATTTTAAAAGACTTGAAACTAACAATATTTTAAAAGATGTGTTTATTTATGCTTAGTTTTAGTTTCATTATATTATGCTCTGCTCTACATTGTAATATTTTTCCTATTTTTAATTTACTTTGAACTCTTTCTGGTATTTTGAGTTGGATTATTTTTAACATATTTATTTTCAGTCTTTCTCTTTTATGATACACACACGAGATGCCACAGGTCTGTTATGTATGGATTTAGTTACATTACAATGTTTAGCTTTCATTTTAAAATATTTTCTATTAATTTCTATCATGATTTCCTCTTTGACCTGTTTTCTATTTAGAAGAATATTGAATATCACAACACATTAAGGCCTTGTCTAGACATCAGCATAATTATTTTTGGTGTCCTACAATTACTGCATACATTTTCAACCCTTGGAAGATTGTTGAAGTTGCATTATGATCCATTAAGTAATCAATATTTGTAAGATTGGTGTATTATAGGTGTAAGATGTAGTGATATTGGTCTTGTGTTTTATTGGATCTGTTAAAAATGTTCCATTATAATTATGAATTTGCATCTTTCTAGTTCTATCATTTTGATGTTTATGTATTGAAGTAATATTAATAGATTATCAATATAAATATTAATCAATACTATAATTTATATTCAAATATTAATATAAATATGAATGCATTAATTATGGTTTATAAATAATATTTAATGTGATTAATAGGATAATTTGGAATTCTGTATTTTGGTACTAAAATATTACCCTCTTTAATTCACATTGTTTAAAGTCTCGCTTGTATATTAATAATATAACTTGTCTGTTGTGATATATCTGGAGACAGAAGGGCTCACATAAGGCATTCATATCTGTTTTTTTTTGTTTTTTTTTTTTTTTTTTAGCTCGAAACACAATCAGCGTAGAAAACGGGTAGGCATTTTTCTTTTTCTTTCTTTTTTTTTTTTTTTTTGAGACAGAGTCTCTCTCTGTCGCCCAGGCTGGAGTGCAGTGGCCGCGATCTAGGCTCACTGCAAGCTCCGCTTCCTGGGTTCGTGCCATTCTCCTGCCTCCCTGCCTCAGCCTCTGGAGTAGGTGGGACTACAGGTGCCCGCCACCACGCCCGGCTAATTTTTTTGTATTTTCAGTAGAGACGGGGTTTCACCGTGTTAGCCAGGATGGTCTCGATCTCCTGACCTCATGATGCACCCGCCTCGGCCTCCCAAAGTGCTGGGATAACAGGCGTGAGCCACCGTGCCCAGCCACGGGTAGACATTTTTCAATAACATTAAAAAGTGATTTAGAAACCCAAAACTTATAGGAGTGAAATATTATGGTTATGACATACAATACATAGTCTAAGGAGTAAGACGAAAAGAGAAGATGTGAAATGAGTTTTTTCAAAAAATTTTGGCTTTGAATGTGCTTTTCTGTACTGGAGAAGCTAGAAAGCAATTTGTATGTCCAGGAGATGACAACTGCCCAAAAGAGACTTAAGTTTTCATCACTGGCTGATCTATAAGCTCAGTGTAAGAAGGAAGTAAAAGCTGAACCTGAGGCAGAATTACAAATGGCCCCCTTAAGTGTTAAAGGAGTGCCCTGGCACTGGGTCAATCCTCAAAGATTAAGCTCCTGACATTCAACAAAATACCTGTCAAAACACTGAATAAACAAAGGTAGCCTTCAACAATCAAGATAATCAAACCTTGAGAAAGAGAGATAATCTGATATATAATGCTATCAAATTGTAATAGTCCAAAGTTCATTAAGAACGACCAGAAAAAAAAAAAAAAACTTAAGCTACAATGCATATAAAAAATAGTGTAGGCAAATAATTTCTGACTAAGCCCTGAAAAACAAAACACAAGCAACAAAACCAAAAATAAACAAATCACAGTAAAACAAATAATCAAGAGTTAACAGACAACCTGCAGATTAAAAAATATTTGCAAACAGTGCAACTGACAGAAGATTGATATTGAAAATTTATAAGGAACTCAAAGAACAACAACAACAAACCAAATAACCCTATCATAAAGTGGGCAAAGAACATGCATAGATATTTTTCAAAGGAAGACATACAAATGGGCAACAAGAATATAAAGAATACTCAACACCACTCATCATCAGAGAAGTGCAAATTAAAGCCACAGTGAGGTACCGGCTCACGCTAGTCAGAATGACTATTACTACAGAATAGAAAAATTATGTTGGCAAGGTACACAGTGAAAAAGAATGCTTATACACCATTGGTGGGATATAAATTAGTGCAAACTCTTTGAAAACCAGTGTGGAGATTTCTCAGAGGAACAAAAATAGAACTACCATTCAGTCCAGCAATCTCACTGTGGGGTATCCCCCACACACACACACAAAAAGTTGTATTAAAAAATCCCTGCACGCATATGTTTATTGCAGTAATATTCACAATAGCAAAGACGCAGAATCAACCTAACTGTCCTTCAATGGATGAATAAAGAAAATATGGTATATATTATATAATTCACAAATACATATACACACATAAAATGGAATACTATTTAGCCGTAAAAAGGAATAAAATGGTGTATTTTTTTTGGAGCAACATGGATGGAACTGAAATATCTTAAGTGAAACAACTTAAAAACTGAAATTCAAATATTGCATGGTCTCATTTATAAGTGGAAGCTAAATAATTTGCACAAATAGGCATAAAGTGTGAAATAATAGACATTGGAGACTTAGGTGACAGGGTGGGAGAATAGTAAGGGATGAGAAAATACTTAATGGTCACAATGTACATTATTTGTGTGACGATTACACTAAAATGCCAGACTTCACCACTGCATCATATAGCCACATAACAAAACTGAAATTGTACCCCTTAAGTATATACAAATAAAAGAAAAAATAGATTGACAAAAACTGTCCACGAGAAATCATAGGCACTTAACTTACTAAACAATAACTTTAAATCAACTATTTTAAATATGTTCAAGAACCTGAAGGACTAAATAACATTTTTAAAAAATGACTTATGAACAAAATGATATTGTCAATGAAGAGATAGAAATGGTAGAAAGGAACCAAACAGACATTCTAGAACTAAAAAGTAAAATAACTACACTTTTTAAAAAATCACTAAATGGATTCAACAGTTTTGAGTAGATAGAAAAAAGAATCAGTGAAGATGAATATTGAACAACTGATAATACAATTTTAGTAGCAAAAATAAAAATGAATTTTTTTAATGTGATTAGAATTTAAGTGACATTTGGGACAAGAGGACCAACCTACACTTTATAGGAGTCTCAGAAGAAGCGGAAGAAAATAGAAAAAATATCTGAAGAAATAGTGGTCAAAACCTTCTCCAATCTGAAAATATGAACTGCATACCTAAGAAGCTAAAGAATCTCCAACTAGGACAATCTCAAAAAAATCAACGGAGAGAAAGATTATAATCAAGTTGCCAAAGGAAAAAGAGAAATAGAGAATCTTCAAAGCAGCGAGAAAGAAGCAAATCCTCACATAGAAGGGATCCCCAGTAAAATTTATAGATGATTTCTCATCAAACATCATGAGGACCAGAAAGCAGTGGGATGACATATTTAAAGTTGTAAAAGAAAAAAAAAGAGAGACAATCAATAATTCTAAAACTTGCACAATTTTCTAATGTAAAACAATAATTTTATATCCATCTTGTTAAAGAATGAAAAAATAAATTAATGCATGCACAGATAAACTAAATATAAGAGGGTTTATTATTGGTAGACCTGCCCTATAAATAACTTAGGCTGAAACAAAAGGACTCTAGACATCAACTTAAATTTGTATAATTTTTTAAAAAATGATAAGGTAATTACATATGTAAATTTAAATGGCAATATTACTAAACTTTGGGGTTGAAACTCCTCTTTATTTTCTATATGAATTTAAAGAAAAAGCACAGTATTCTCTGATGGTAGTTTGTATTTCTGTGGGATTGGTGGTGATATCCCCTTTATCATTTTTTATTGCATCTATTTGATTCTTCTCTCTTTTCTTCTTTATTAGTCTTGCTAGCAGTCTATCAATTTTGTTGATTTTTTCAAAAAAAACAGCTCCTGGATTCATTGATTTTTTTAAAGGGTTTTTTGTGTCTCTATATCCTTCAGTTCTGCTCTGATCTTAGTTATTTCTTGCCTTCTGCTGCTTTTGAATGTGTTTGCTCTTGCTTCTCTAGTTCTTTTAATTGTGATGTTAGGGTGTCAATTTAAGATCTTTCCTGCTGTCTCTTGTGGGCATTTAGTGCTATAAATTTCCCTCTACACACTGCTTTGAATGTGTCCCACAGATTCTGGTATGTTGTGTCTTTGTTCTCATTGGTTTCAAAGAACGTCTTTATTTCTGCCTTCATTTCATTATGTACCCAGTAGTCATTCAGGAGCAGGTTGTTCAGTTTCCATGTAGTTGAGCAGTTTTGAGTGAGTTTCTTAATCCTGAGTTCTAGTTTGATTGCGCTGTGGTCTGAGAGACAGTGTGTTATAATTTCTGTTCTTTTACATTTGCTAAGGAGTGCTTTACTTCCAACTATGTGGTCAATTTTGGAATAGGTGTGGTGTGGTGCTGAAAAGAATGTACATTCTGTTGATATGGGGTGGAGAGTTCTGTAGATGTCTATTAGGTCCGCTTCGTGCAGAGCTGAGTTCAGTTCCTGGATATCTTTGTTAACTTTCTGTGTCGTTGATCTGTCTAATGTTGACAGTGGGGTGTTAAAGTCTCCCATTATCATTGTATGGGAGTCTAAGTCTCTTTGTAGGTCTCTAAGGACTTGCTTTATGAATCTGGGTGCTCCTGTATTGGGTGCATATATACAAACTACCATCAGAGAATACTATAAACACCTCTATGCAAATAAACTAGAAAATCTAGAAGAAATGGATAAATTCCTCGACACATACACCCTCCTGGATGTGCTTCCTGGGTACTAAACCAGGAAGTACCGAATCCAGCAGCACATGAAAAAGCTTATCCACCATGATCAAGTGGGCTTCATCCCTGGGATGCAAGGCTGGTTCAATATACACAAATCAATAAACGTAATCCAGCATATAAACAGAACCAATGATAAAAACCACATGATTATCTCAATAGATGCAGAAAAGGCCTTTGACAAAATTCAACAACTCTTCATGCTAAAAACTCTCAGTAAATTAGATATTGATGGGACGTATCTCAAAATAATAAGAGCTATCTATGACAAACCCACAGCCAATATCATACTGAATGGGCAAAAACTGAAAGCATTCCCTTTGAAAACTGGCACAAGACAGGGATGCCCTCTCTCACCACTCCTATTCAACATAGTGTTGGAAGTTCTGGCCAGGGCAATCAGGCAGGAGAAGGAAATAAAGGATATTTAATTAGGAAAAGAGGAAGTCAAATTGTCACTCTTTGCAGATGACATGATTGTATATCCAGAAAACCCCATTGTCTCAGCCCAAAATCTCCTTAACCTGATAGGCAACTTCAGCAAAGTCTCATGATACAAAATCAATGTGCAAAAATCACAAGGATTCTTATACACCAATAACAGACAAACAGAGCCAAATCATGAGTGAACTCCCATTCACAATTGCTTCAAAGAGAATAAAATACCTAGGAATCCAACTTACAAGGGATGTGAAGGACCTCTTCAAGGAGAACTACAAACCACTGCTTAACGAAATTAAAGAGGACACAAACATATGGAAGAACATTCCATGCTCATGGGTAGGAAGAATCAATATCATGAAAATGGCCATACCGCCCAAGGAAATTTATAGATTCAATGCCATCCCCATCAAGCTACCAATGACTTTCTTCACAGAATTGGAAAAAACTACTTTAAAGTTCATATGGAACCCAAAAACAGCCCGCATTGCCAAGTCAATCCTAAGCCAAAAGAACAAAGCTGGAGGCATCATGCTACCTGACTTCAAACTATACTACAAGGCTACAGTAACCAAAACAGCATGGTACTGGTACCAAAACAGAGATATAGACCAAGGGAACAGAACAGAGCCCTCAGAAATAATGCCGCATATCTGCAACTATCTGATCTTTGACAAACCTGACAAAAACAAGCAATGGGGAAAGGATACCCTATTTAATAAATGGTGGTGGGAAAACTGGCTAGCCATATGTAGAAAGCTAAAACTGGATGCTTTCCTTACATCTTATACAAAAATTAATTCAAGATAAAGACTTAAATGTTAAACCTAAAACCATAAAAACCCTAGAAGAAAACCTAGGCAATACCATTCAGGACATAGGCATGGGCAAGGATTTCATGTCCAAAACACCAAAAGCAATGGCAAAAAAAAGCCAAAATTGACAAATGGGATCTAATTAAAGAGCTTCTGCACAGCAAAAGAAACTACCATCAGAGTGAACAGGCAACCTACAAAATGGGAGAAACATTTTGTAATCTACTTATCTGACAAAGGGCTAATATCCAGAATCTACAAAGAACTCCAACAAATTTACAAGAAAAAAACAAACCCCATCAAAAAGTGGGCGAAGGATATGAACAGACACTTTTCAAAAGTAGACATTTATGCAGCCAACAGACACATGAAAAAATGCTCATCATCACTGGCCATCAGAGAAATGAAAATCAAAGCCACAATGAGATACCATCTCACACCAGTTAGAATGGTGATCATTAAAAAGTCAGGAAACAACAGGTGCTGGAGAGGATGTGGAGAAATAGGAACACTTTTACACTGTTGGTGGGACTGTAAACTAGTTCAACCATTGTGGAAGTCAGTGTGGCGATTCCTCAGGGATCTAGAACTAGAAATACCATTTGACCCAGCCATCCCATTACTGGGTATATACCCAAAGGATTATAAAATATGCTGCTATAAAGACACATGCACACGTATGTTTATTGTGGCACTATTCACAATAGCAAAGACTTGGAACCGACCCAAACGTCCAACAAAGATAGACTGGATTAAGAAAATGTGGCACATATACACCATGGAATACTATGCAGCCATAAAAAGGATGAGTTCATGTCCTTTGTAGGGACGTGGATGAAGCTGGAAACCATCATTCTCAGCAAACTATCACAAGGACAAAAAACCAAACACCGCATGTTCTCACTCATAGGTGGGAATTGAACAATGGGAACACATGGACACATGAAGGGGAACATCACACACCGGGCCCTGTTATGGGGTGGGGGTAGGGGGGAGGGATAGCATTAGGAGATTTACCTAATGTTAAATGACGAGTTAATGGGTGCAGCACACCAACATGGCACATGTATACATATGTAACAAACCTGCATATTGTGCACATGTACCCAAAAACTTAGAGTACAATAAAAAACACAAAACAATAATTATAAACTTCTGTCAATGGGTATGTAATGTATAAAGATGTAGTCAGTGACAACAATATAGAGACGTAGATGAAGATGTGTAGAAGCAGAGTATTTGTATACTGCTGAAATAAAGTTGATGTTATTAAAACTAGGTTGTTATAAATGTAAGATCTTAAGTAAGATCTTAATTGTAATCCCCAAGGTAACCACTACAAAATTAAAATACACATAAGAGAAAGGAGGTAATCAAAGTGGTACACTACAAAAATATCAACTAATTACAAAAATGAAATAATTGAAAAATTGAGAAACAAAAAACATATGCATCAAACATAAAACAAATGGATAAATGTTAAGTAATTGCTTTCTTATAAGTAATAAAATGCATCAAATCTTCAATTAAAAGGCAAAGTTTAGTAGAACAATTTAAAGAAATGATCTATCTGTATGTGCCACCTACAAGAAACTTACTTTAGATCCAAAGACACGAAGAGGCTAAAAGTAAAATAATAAAAATAGATAGCTCATGAAAACAGTCACCAAAAGAGCACTTGGATGTCTCTTAATAATGAGATGAAGAAACAGACAGAAAACCAGTATGAAAATAGTGGACATGAACAATATAATAAACCAATTAAACCTAACAGATATATACACAAACTATTCCGCCCAACACAGAAGACCCATTTTTGTATTCAACATATAACTGGAAGTTCTAGATAGGGCAAGAGTTACATAGAACATTTTCCAGCATATACCATAGCTTACACCAAAACACAAGCCTTAACAAATTTAAGGAGACTTAAATATTACAATGTATTTTCCTTCTGAACACAAAAATTGTAACCAGAAATTAGTAACAGAAACTGGAAAACTCACAAATATATGAAGATTAAACGACAAACTTTTAAACAAATTGATCGAAGAATAAAACACAAGGGAAATTAGAAAATATTAGAAAATGTCTTGAGAGAAATGAAAGAAAAACAACACATATGAAGTCACATGGGTCATAGAAAATGCAGTACTTAGAGATATATTTTAACTATAACCAACAAATTTTAAAAAGCAGAAAAATCTTAAATTTACAACCTAACTTTACATCTTAAAGAAAAAAAGCAAGTCAAACCAAAATCTTCATATGGTTGTGTGTGTGTGTGTATGTATTTATTACAGTGACATATTATTCAGCTATAAAATGAGGGCATTATGCTAAATGAAATGAGCCAAACACAAAAATACAAATACTGTATGATCTCACTTATACATGGAATCTAAAAAAAAATCTAACTCACAACAGCGGAGAGTAGAATGGTGGTTGGTGGTTGCCAAGGGTGGGAAATGGGGGAAATAAAGAGATTTTGGTCAAAGGTACAAAGTTTTACTTATAAGATGTGTAAGTTCTAGAATCTAAATTATAGCATGGTGACTATAATAAAAAATTGTGTAATACTTACTTGACATTTGCTAAGGGAGTAGATCTTAAGTGTCCTCTCCAGTGCACACAAGTGAATAGTAAATAAATTCAGTGGATTGATATTTTAATTAATTTTATTGTGGTAATAATTCTGCTATGTATATGCAATCTACATGTGCTCCTTGAATTTTTAATATTTTTATCTCAATAAAGCTAAAAATATAGAAATAAAAATGTATAAGTAAAATTGTACGCAATAGTGAAAGGCTGCTTGTCCCTAAGATTGGGAACACATCCATTATTTAATATTATACGAGAGGCTGGGTGCGGTGGTTCAAGCCTGTAATCCCAGCATTTTTGGGATGCTGAGGTGGGTGGTTCACTTGAGGTCAGGAGTTCGAGACCAGCCTGGCCAACATGGTAAAACCCTGTCTCTACTAAAAATACACAAATTAGCTGGGTGTGCTGGCAGGTGCCTGTAATCCCAGCTACTCAGGAGGCTGAGGCAGGAGAATCGCTTGAACCCAGGAGGCAGAGGTTGCAGTGAGCTGAGATCCTGCCATTGCACTCCAGCCTGAGGTACAAGAACAAAACTCCATCTCAAAAAATAAATAAATAAATAAATAAATTATACTGGAGGTTCTAGTCAGAATATCAAGGCAAGAAAATTAAATACATTCACAAAGATTGGAAAGAAAAAAATGCAGAAGAAAAAAGAATTTGTATGAAGCATGGAAAATGACAATCTGTCAAACAGATAATTGGTGTTCACGAAGTAGGAATGGAACAAATAGGACAAAAATATTCATGCAATTATTTTTAAAAATTAAGTTGTTTAAGTAATAAATAAATTTGTTAATCACAGGGCATATCATATTCACAGTACAAGTTTTAAAAAGTATTAAAACCTTTAGATAATAAAAACATCACTAAGAGAGTGAAATAACTTATTTACAAAATGAGATAATGTACTGTGAAGTATGTATCTTGTAAGAGATTTATATCAAGACATTAAAAAACTACAACTCTACAACAAAAAGACAAAACAACCCAATTAAAAACAGGCAAAGGATTTGAATAGACATTTTGCTAAAGATATGCAAATGGCCAATGAGTACAACATGAAAGTTATTAAAAAACCATTAGTTTTTAGGCCATTGCAAATCAAAATCACAATGACATAATGTTATACCTACTAGTATCACTATAGTTAGAAAATGTAGAACAAGAGTTGACGAGTAACTGGGAAATTTGGAGAATCATACTTTGTTGGTCTGCATTTAAAATGATGCAGCTGCTGTGGAAGACAGTTTGGTGATACCTTAAAATGTTAAACAGAATTACCATATGACCCAGCATTTTAATTTGGTATCCCAATGAATGTAAAACATGAATTCAGATAAATGCACACTAGTGTTTATAGCAGCATTATTCATAACAGCCAAAAGGAGGAAATAACCCACGTGTGTCTATCAACAGATGAATGGATAAACAAAATGGGGTGTGTGTGCATACTGTGGAATATAATTGAGCCATAAAAAAGAAATGAAGTTCTCATACATGTCACTATATGGATGAAGCTTTTAAACATTATGCAAAGTGAAATTAGCCAGACACAAAAGGGTCAATGTTGTATGATTCCTCTTATACAAATATTTAGAACAGGGAGATTCACAGAGACAAGATTTAGAGTTTACTAGGGGATGGATTAGGAATAAAAAATGGGGAGTTGTTACTAATTGCCAGAGTTTCTGTTTGGATTGATGAAAATTTTTGAAAATAGTGGTGATTGTTGCACAAAACTGTAAATACAATTAATGCCACTGAATTGTACACTTAAGAGGTTAAATGGCAAATTTTATACATTTTACAATAAAAAATATTAAAAATGTGAATTATAATTTTCATAACAGTATTTTTATTTGTGAAATTTTTTTACAATTTGCTTTTTTTTTGGTATGTTCTACATTTTTTTCCATGTACTAAGTATCGTGGGAAGTTCCAACCTCATACTTATGCTGCTTTTCTACTTGCTAATATTGGATGCTTCTTGCCAGGCTCCTTAAATTGTGCTGTAACCTGGAAGAAACCTTCCTACTCTCCACAAACCCTGAATAATCCTGAGAGTTTAAACCTCACCTAATTATTCTCTATCATTTAGAAACTAGAGGGGTGGAGGACTGAGAGAGGAACAGTATAAAATTCGAAACCAGTGATGCATTGGCTGAAAAACACTGACATGAATTGTGAGAGCAAAGAAACCACAGCTGGTTTTGCAGGTGCAGTCCAGGTGGGCCTTGGCAGCTGATGTTGAATTGTACGAATTGTAGCTCTTATATTTTCTGGGCTACAGCTGATACTGTAGGTTCAGCTAAAATAGTAAATTACTAGGAGGCATCATTAAGTTCCAATTAAGATTCACTTCAAATCAGGTAGCTCTTCCATCTGAATGTTTTTTCAAATACAGCTCATGTCCACATGCTTTAAGTTGTGCACTAATACATATCAGTAGTACACAATTTGTGGCACCATTAGTAATAAGATTTATAGGAGTGCTATAATTCCAAACTCTGAAAATAAAAGAACTGCAAATAATTTATACAGATACTCTGTCACCATAATTTCCTGCTTTTTAAATGTCTGCTGCACAGAGTGACTTCATTTCAAAGAGCACTTTATGAGAAGGAAAAGCATAAAGGGTAACTTTAAAGTCAAAATCCTGAAAAAGAATATCTTAGCCAGGTGATTAAAATTAACATCAACAGTGATAAGCCCTTTTGATAGTATGTAGCATTGATATGATGTGAAAAGAATGTCACTTCATCTCTGTGGCCTTCCTCCCCAAAATACATATCCCTAGTTTTCTCAGGAGATAAGCATCAAGCAAAGCCCAAGTGAGGGACATACTACAAAATACCTGACCACTACTGTAAACTGTAAGGTGGGCAAAACCAAGGAAAACGTGAGTAAGAGTCGCAGCCAAGAAAAGCCTGTGGAGACATGACTACTCAATGCAACATGATATCCTGATGAGACTCTGGAAGACAAAAAGAATATTAAATACAATATAAGGAAATTTGAATAAGTTGTGAACTTTATTTAATAACATATTGTATGGGTTCAATAATTGTGACAAGTATACTACAGCAACATAAGATACTACATAGGGAAACTGTCAAATATATAGGAACTCTTTGTACTGTCTTCACAATTTTTCTGTAATTAGAAAACTATTGTAAAAGAAAACTGTATTTTAAAAAAGCATTGTTATATTAAAAATGACACAAAACATGTGCAGCAGATGTGGGTTGGAGCCAGAAATTCTGCATTTGTAATAAGCCTACGGTGCTCTTTCTGTTGCTGGTGCTGCTTGCCTGGGTCTCATGGAGTGGCAGGCATAGAGTGGCCTCCAGGTCAGGAGAATGGGCATCATGTGGAACTTGTTAGACATACAAGTCATTTCATGTCAGATCTATCGAATTAGAAAGTCTAGGGTTGGGGCCCAGCAGTATGTTTTATAGCAACCCCTCCAGAGGTGCTGATGCGAATACATAAGGAAAATTGATCTAAAATCCACCACTAGCATGTTATTCTCTCCCCCTTTTTTGTTGGAGTGGGAGTGGAAGATAAGTTGGAGGTAAGGGTGTATATTTGAAAAGTTAATTCACTGAATAAATAGTTATAAAAAATTTACATCTTGAGACTGAATTTCATGCTAAAGAAATGGATTTATGCAATTTGTCCATGAACGTCTAGTCACTGCTTATGCAAGCTTTCCATGGCTGTTCATTGACAGAAGGTTGGCTGATTTATATCACCACATAAAAAGAGCATAAATAATAATTTATCAATCATTTGTATCTCCTGAAAGATCTACAAATTATATTTTACAAATTAAAAATAAATTACTATTGGATTCCCGATCAGCTCAGGAATTGGATTCCTGATTCTAGCTCAGTCATCTAGAGGTTTAAATGTATCTTTTTATTGAATTTTTTGTTTAGTTACTAGATACACATATAAAGGATGTAATTTTTTAAAATATATCATATAATAGCTTTTAATTTCATTTTTGTTTTTCTTGTATAACCTATTCTCTATATACTCACGTATTTTGGCTTAATAGTATGTTTGATAATTTATTCATGTTGATATGTCCACAAATATATTGGAATTTCATAAAAATTTCTTTGGCAAAGAAGGCACAACTTTCCTGTTCTTCAGAGGATTGTTCCTTTCTGATATTTGTAATTACAAACGATGATAAAATAAAAACATTGTACAAATCTACTTTTGCACAAGGATGATGATGTCTATAGAACATATAACCATGAGTAGAAATGCTGGACCCAAAGTTATGACAATATTTTACTTTCCTAGGTATTGCCCCAATTTTCTCTTAGTGCATATTTTAATGGATTTCCCACTTACCAGTTTTTGAGGTATCCTATTGTTCCACATATTCACAACATTTGGTTTCATCGAACTATTTAATTTCCACCAATCACATGGAATTGAGGTCACCACATACATTTCCAAAGCATATTAACTGGATATTATGAGGTTGAGTATATTTTCAAACATTTGCTGACTTTTCAACTTCTGATCTATCAATTATTTCATCATATCTCTTATTTTTTTCTTTTGGCACATACCTTTATATGAACATTTATATTGTAACTGTTAATCTACATGAGTGTGTGCACTGCAAATATATTGTTCAGGCTGCAGCATGTATTTTTAATTTTTGTGTTGTCGTTTGAGAAACAGAAGATTTTAATTTTGTTTAGTTAACTTCATTACTTTAACTTTATAGTTTGTATTTCTTTTTTCCTCTTGTAGTAACCCTTTCCTTACTCCTTTCTGTGTTTAGGTTGGCAATAAGACTTTTCTTATTTTGTTTTCAGTTAGGTTTGTAAGGCAGAAGTTAAGCTGTTAAGCTGTGAGTATTATTGCAAGTAAGCAAACACTTGCACATCTTGTGGTTTATCTGCAGGCTCACCTGACTGGTATGGAGCAAAAGCCAAGGGCTTTGGTTCAGTCCTCCACTGCTCATCAGATCTCCCATTTCAGCTTCCTGGGCCAGGTGCATGTGCAGATAGATCCAGCTCAAGGAGTATGAACTTCTCCTCCTGATCAGCTGTCATGTCAAGGGTAGAGGCAGTGAGAACAAGATTTTAATTTGTCTTTATGATTTCTGAACTTACTCTCTTCACTTTGCATACATCTTTTCTTCTTGACTATCAGCCACCATACAGTGACTCCAAGTCCACTACCAGATATGAAGACAACCACCTTCCATGGACTTCTTCACTAGCACCACGTGTTGTTCTTGGTTAATGGTGTCTCTTATATTCTAATCGATCCTTTTTAGCTCTTTAGCATCTTAGCTTTTCAAAAAACGTGAAAGATCTAATCTTTAAAATAAACTCTTACCCATATCATTCGCATTGATTCTTGTTCCCTAGCCAACTCAAAACACTAAGTTTAACTTTTCAAGTAATGTGGCTTTACACACGTAAATTTTGAATACACAGATTATTAATCAATGTAGAATTTATATTTTTGCATGAGATAAGGCACTTATTTGGTTTTCTTTTAAGTTCTATAGGAAAACAATTGACCCAGCATCACAATTAAATAGGTCATCAAATGATAATATGCATATGTCTTTCTCTATTACTTTTCATTAATTTATATCCCTGGAACTATTCCACACTGTCTTAAACATTTTGTAATTTGTAATGATAATGTATGTTAATATTCAATAGTATATATCATGCCACCTTGCTCTTCTTAAAAGTGTCTTTTTGTTTTACATTTTGTTGCAATACATATATGTATGAAACTTATGATACTAAGTCTTCCTACTACTATATATACATGTGGTATGTAGCTTAGTTCATTTAGATCTTGTGTGTTTGTATGTACATGATTTATTCATTCCTATGTATAAAATACATGTCCTTTTTTATTTTAAATGATATATTTTCATACTTTCTATTCGTTACTCTTTTTTTTTCCTTTACCCTAAGGAAATAATTTAGCAAAGGTTTATCCTCCATTCAAATTCAAATTTTCCTTAAGTTGGTTATTCAATGTCCTATATTGGTGAATTGGTTAGAAAGATAGAAATTCTAATTTAATTCTTACACTAAGTTAAATTTAGTATATAATCATCCCCCATTTATACAGCACATATGCTTGTTATATATCAGTTGACTCTGTTTTCTGGAATCCAAACTGGTACAGAATTCAACCAGGCCAAGTTAATGGTAAATGTTTGCCCCCCTTTAACATCTCAATAATGAAAATGGCATATAGACAACAAGATTTCCCTGTTGAGACATAGGTGGTAACAAGCCAAGTCTCTTCTAACTATAAGAAGGATTTTACTAAGAGCTTCCAACCCCAAATAGTTAATTATATAGTGATAAAGAGGTCAATTCTTTAAGAAGTTATCTAACTGTAAATATATATGTGTATATATATGTATATATATATGTGTATATATATGTGTATATATATATGTGTATATATATGTATATATATATATATGCACCTAACATCAGAACACCTCAAAATATAAACCAAATATTAATAGAAAGGAGAGACAGGGTACAATTCAATAACAGTATGGGACGTCAATACCCAGAGACAGATTTTCAGAGAAAAGATATTGAGGAAATGTCATATTTAAATTACACTTTAGAGCAAATGAACATGATACACAAATATGGAACATTTGACCAAGAGCAGCAGAATACAAATTCTTCTCAAGCACACACAAAATATTTCCAGGAGAGATCACAGGTAAGAAAATAAGTCTTAACAAATTCAAGAAGATTGAAATCATATCAAGTATGTTTTTAAACCACAGTGTTATATAACTAGAAATCAATAACGAGGAATTTTGGCAAATTCATATATTCATAAAAATTAAACAACATGCTCCTGAACAACCAATGTATCAATGAATAAATTAAAAGAGAAATTTAAAATACCTTAAAAGTAATGAAAATGGAAATACAACATACCAAAACTTATGGGATGCAGAAAAAGCAGTTCAAAGAGGGAAGTTTACTGCAATAAACACCTACCTACCTCAACAGAGGTAAAAGATCTTAAATAAACAACTTTTTTAATGAGCTAAAAAAATAAAAACAAAGTGCAAAATTGCCAGAATGAAAAAATAATAAATATCAAAGTAGAAATAATTAAAACAGATACTAGAAAAAACAATGGAAAAGATCAATGAAACTAAGAAATGTTTTTTTTTTAAAGATAATCAACAATACTTTAGCTAAACTAGGAATAAAAGAGAGAAGACTCAAAATCAGGAATGAAAGAGGTGACATTATATTAGATACCATAGCAATACAAAAGATTATGAGACTAATATGAATAACTAAATGCCAACAAATTGGATAATCTGGAGAAAATCAATACATTTCTTCATACATACAATCTACCAGGACTGAATCACAAAGAAATAGAAAATCTGAATAGAAAATATCAAGAAAAGATTTAATCAGTAATAGCCCAGGACCCAATTACATCACTGCTGAATTTTACCAAATGCTAAAGAATAGCTAATACCAATAATTATCAATCTTTTTGAAAAAACTGAAAAGGGAATAATTCCAAACTTTTTTACAAGGCCAGAATTATCCTGATACCAAAGCCAGACACGGACATTACAAGAAATAAAAGTACAGGCCAACATCCCTAATGAAAATAGATGAAAAATTCCTCAACAAAATGCTAGCAAACCAAATTTAACAGCACATTAAAAGGATCATTCCCTTTTAGATAGAAGAAACAAACTTCAACATAACATAAAGGTCATCTTCAAGAAATCCACCGGTAACATGAAACTCCAGTGAAAAGTTGAAAGTTTTTCCTCTAAGACCAGGAACAAGACAAAGATGCCTACTCTGCCACTTTTATTTAAGATAGCAATGGAAGACCTAGTTAAAAAAAAAAAAAATCAGGAAAGAAAAAGAAATAAAAGGCATTTGAATTGGAAAGGAAAAAGCTAAATAGTCCTTGTTTGCAGGTGACATAATTACATATTAAAAACATTAAATATTCCACCAAAAATTATTAGAACTAACACACGAATTCAGTAAAGTTGCAGGATAAAAATTAACATCCCCAAAGCAGTTGTGTTTCTATAAACTAACAATAAACTATCAGCCCCCCCATAAAAATCAAGTGAACAATACCATTTAAAATAGCTATGAAAAAATAACGTACTTAGGAAAAAACAACCAAAAATGTTAAAGAGGTATATACTGAAAACTATAAAACACTGGTGAACAAAATTGAAGAAAACTCAGATAAATGGGAAGTTATCTCACATTCATGGATTCAAAGATTAATATTTTCGAAGTTTCCAAACTGCCCAAAAGGATCTAAAAATTCAATGCAAACCCTATCAATATTCCAATGTCATCTTTCACAGAAATTGAATAAATATCCCCAAATTCATATGGAACCATGAAAGATTCTCAATAGCAATTGTCGGTGAAATAAGCAAAGCAGGAACATCACACTAAGCAGGAACATCACACTACCTGACTTCAAAATATACTACAAAGCTATAGAAACCAAAAGAGCCATGGTAGTGGTATAAAAATAGATGCATAAATCAATGGAACTGAATAGAAACTTCAATTCATAAATTTATAATCAATTGATTTACAATACATTGATGAGAATACACAATGGAGAAATAACAGTATCTTCAATAAATATTGTTTCTACAACTGGATATTCACACGTGAAGAATACAATTAGACATTCTTTTCACATCATATACAAAAATCTACTCAAAATGTCTTAAAGACTTAAACATAAGACCGAAAATTGTAAAACTACTAGAAGAAAACAAAAAGGTAAAACTCCATGCAATTGATCTTAGCAATGATATCTTTGAATAGGAAACCAAAATCACAAACAACAAAAGCAAAGATAGACAAATGATATTACATCAAACTAAAAAGCTTCTGCACAACCAACATTACAGTCAAAAGAGTGAAGAGACAATGCACAGAATGAGAGAAAATATTTGCAAACCATACATTTGATAAGGGGTTAATATTTAAAATATATAAGAAACTCAACTCAATAGTAAGAAAACAAATAACCTGATTTTAAAAATGGGCAAAAGGTGTGACTAGACATTTCTCAAAGAAAGACATATTAATCACCCACAGATATATTAAGAAAGTCTCAACATCTTTAGTCATCAGGTAAATGCAAATTAAATCCCCAGTGGGACATCATCTCAGAACTGTTAAAATGGAAATTATATAAAAAAAAGATAACAAGTGTTAGTGAGGATGTGGAGAAAAGTAAACCCTTGAACAATGTTGGTGGGACTGTAAATTAGTACATCCATTTGGAAAATAGTATGGAGGTTACTATAAAACTAAAAATATCACTACCATATGATCCAGCAGTCCCACTACTAGCTATATATCTAAGGGAAATGAAATTAGTATATCGAAGATATCATTACACCCATGTTCACTATAGCATTATTTTTAATAACAAAGATATGGAATCAACTTGTCTATCAATGGATGAATAAAGAAAACATGGTATACACACATAAGGGAATATTGATCACTTATAAAAATAAATTAAATCCTGTTATTTGTGACAACATGGATAAACCTGGAGGACATTATATTAAGTGAAATAAACCAGGCACAGGATGATAAATACAAATGCTCAAGTATATGAGAAATTTTAAGTTAAATTTAGAAGAAGAATGATGGGTACCAGGGGCTGTTGGTGGGAGCACCAAGTGGCAAAGGAATTGAGGAAATGTTGGTCAAAGGATACAGAATTTCAATTAGATGGAAGGGAAAAAATATGTTGCTTTCTCAAATGTTTACTGCAGGCTTAGATATTGACTTAGGGTTAAACTTAGTGCAAGAAACAGTGAAGTTCAACATAAGTTTTCACATAACAGTAGTGTATTTCTTGTTCATGTAAATGAAGGAAGGTGGAAGAACAAGACTAGGATTGTAGCTCCCCAATGCTCAAGAACACAGGTTCTTTCCAGTTCATCATCCTGACATCCCCATGTGTGGGATTCATTATTATAATCTATTGGATGGCTACTGGTGACTGTAATATTTAATCTGCATACCAGAAAATAAAGTAGAAAAAAGAAAATGAGCCATGGGACCTGCCTAATGACTAAATGTTTTTAATGAGCACTTTCCTACATCTCATTGACTAAAATGTGGCCACATGGAAATATCTCCACAGAAAGGGAGTCCTGGAAATCTTGTCTTTATAACAGAAAATCATGTGCAGTCTCTGCTACAGTTTACCAACCACATGGTTGCATGGTTTCTCAAAACAACAGATTGAGGGAGATTGGCACAAACCACTTTTGCCATGTGAACATTCTTTCCCTGAGCTATAAGTGTAAAACATTCTACCTTCTCGAGGAATTTCTAACGGACAAAAAAAAATATGCTTCTGTCATAATTTTCCTTTAGTTCCTATTCATTTATTTTTATGAAATTAATCCAATTGACAAATGTGATATATTTGGAATCATTTTTATTAATGTGTATAGAATGCCATTATTAAAGCAAGAAACAGACTCTGCTCCTCATTCCTCATGAAGTAGTGAGAGGAAGAGTGTCATTTTCTATACTTTTTCTTCCCAAATAAGAAGCACATGAGGAAATGTCTCCTACTTCCTCATGTGCAAAAGTAAGATACAACCCAAAAGACAGGAAAAGTGGTATGCAAAACTTCCAAAGCTAACTTAAATCATAAAGCAAAATTCAGACCATTTCCATCAACATAATTTTGGATTAATTTCAGTTATTGCTTATATGAAGTTCTGGATAAACAGGAATTTAAAAACACACACATATGCAATTTCTTAGTATAATTCAAACAAAATTCATACACCATTTAATTTCAAATTAAATATGTGGAGTATTATATTAAAAAGACACAAAAGCCATTAAGAAAAAAATTCAGAAAGAAATATGAGAAAACATATTTATGCTAATTTGATGCTGTTAAATTCCTAATAGTCACAGCAAGAACCGCTAAAAATTATGACCATTTTCTAAACTAAATATTATACCTTAAAAAGACTGTTTCATAAAAAATTTGTTTTTTATGCATAATTCCAAGCTCATATTTCAAACAACATCCTTACTCATGGATATGGGCAATATGGTGTAGCTTCTTGCTGACCATCCCTGCAATAATTCACAAGTTTCAGCTTCTACAGTGCAGCTGTGAAGTCAGTAGGGAGTCATTCAGTTATTTGTGATTTTAGCCATCTGTCAGCTAAATCCAAGCATCAAATGCAAAATTGTACACATGGGGATATTATGGGGATTTGTGTCTCGCCCTAGAGGATATTGGATCTGCATACCTACAAAAGATCCATAAATGATTATTTGCATAAGAGACATCTATTCCTTTTCCACTAATGCTTATGCTATGCTAGGTCTGAGAATTTTCAAAACAGAAGGAGTCCCTGTAATCATGAAAAAACTGAAAATGGATCCTACAGATTACTTTGGCATCTTCTTTAGAAAATGTGTGATTTCTGAGCACAGCATGACATTAGGATGAATACTACTTCTTAATTGAAAATATTTTACAGTACCAGAGGAAATAAAATTAGATTGAAAATTATTCAGATCCATATGAATTTAAGTGGAAGACTTCAAAATAAATAAACATTTCAGAGGTCTGCAACTATGTAAAACACAAAAACATACCTCACTGATTGTACAGAACTACTTGTTAGCGTAATTCTTGCAGTGTATTTCAATTTCAGAGAGAAGAGTTATGTTAACTGCAGTATTTACCACTTACAAGCTTTCAGTCACATATACTGTGAAATTTTGTTTTGTGTATAATTAAGAAAAATATATGGATCATTTATTCCATACATGATACTGTTTCAACACTTTCAGTTTACAGTCAGCTAGAAATTTAAAGGATGCCTGGCTTCTAATACTAAAAGGTACATTTTAAAACAGTTTTGAGATATTGATTCTTCTTACCTTCTTGAAATGTTTTTTACTTTATTTTCCTAGCATCATATAATATAAAGGATCATAGGCCAGAAAAATTTAATTAGCCTTATAGCCTTCCACTTATGAAATGTGTGCTTAGATTAGTAATTTACAACTCAAGAATCAATTTCTTCATCTGAATTTCAAAAGTAATGACAAGAGCTCTTAGAACTCAAGTAAATGGTAAACAAGGAAACATATCCGTATATGTTTACGCTATTGATAATAAAACAGCAGGTCCCTTACTCTCTTTAGTTAATATTGGCACAATTAGTGATAATATATTAAGATATTTTCCATAATCAGATCATATGTCATACTGAGGTGTAAAATCAATTTCCCTTTACTCCAATCTAAAATACTGAATATGCATAAGACTGAATTTTTGTGTCCTCACAAAATTCATATGTTGAAATCTAACTCCTAATGTGAAGGTATTCACATGTGAGGTCTTTGGAAGGTGATTATATCATGAGGATAGAACTCTCATATGTGGGATAAATTATCTATGAAAGAAGACTCCAGAGAGCTCCCTTGTCCCTTCTTCCATATGAGGAACATATTGAGAAAAGATTCTATGAACCAGGAAGCAGACCCTCACCAGATATGAAATTTGCAAAACCCTTGATGCTGGACTTCCCAGCCTCCACAACTGTGAGAATAAATTTTTGTTCCTTACATACCACCTGGCCTGTGACATTGTCTTATCACTACTCAAATGAACTATGATACCATCAATAACAATGCAGGAATTCTACATACGTATTTTTTTAATCTTACTAAAGGAAACACCAATTTTAAAAAGAAATAATTTAAGATGGTACTTAGGAGAGATCTTGAAACAACAATACTTCTATTAATAAATAATTATCTTTTTTGGTTATCCATTAAATGTTTTAGGAACATCTTCACTCCAATTCAACCCATTGTTTTTGTAGACAAGATTGAATTTTGCTGCACAATTCTCTATTTATGCATGAAAGCACTTCCAATTTGGTGGTGATAGTCCTGAACCTTTTCCATTTTGAATAAAAATAAAAAAAAATTGAGGGCAGTAACTGACCCAATAGCTTAGTAACTATCATGATTTTCTACTATAGAGTTAAAAGCCCATTATCAAAATTGATGGGATAGGGAAGCCATTTGGATACTACCTCCGTATTTAAAAACAACAAGAAAAAACATTTTTTTCAATGTATTCTAACCTTGAGAAATTAAAATAAAAATAAGCACATCATGATTTAGAGCAGAAATACTAGAACAGAGACAGAACTTATCCACCAAGTTAGAACCTTAGAATCTGAAATAGTTTAACTGAGAGGTCAAAAATCTGCTCTTCCATCTTCTAATGGGAGATCTCAGGCAGATGCAAGTATTTAGGTCAAATTACTTTTAAAAACTTGGGGCAAGTATTAATGCTCACCTATTTAGGTGTGCTAGATATTGTTGCTCAATATATAGTAAGGTCTAGCTATGGGCAGTAAAGATGTTCTGAACTTGATACTGGAGGTTTATGCAGATGTAGAAGTAAATAGGGTCAAGGTTGGGTATTTTCAAATAGAAATAGTGTGATGTTCCCCCCTTCCTGTGTCCATGTGTTCTCATTGTTCAATTCCCACCTATGAGTGAGAACATGCGGTGTTTGGGGTAACTAAGCTGCACGTTGTGCACATGTACCCTAAAACTTAAAGTATAATAAAAAATAGAAATAGTGACTGTAGATACTAATTTGTAGATCCATTGCCTTTGTCTGATTTTATAATTTCAATGAATACTATGTATAAGCAGTGTGTAATGCCCCATCCATTTTAAGGAGCTGTCTGTTTGTACCTCAGTTCCAATTGGCCAACCTATTAGGAAACTGGAATTGTTCAAGGCAACCACAATAGTAAACATTGAAAAATACACAATTCCAGAGTTAAAATTCTTAACTCTGATTAAAGAAATGTTTGTAGCAAATGTTTTTATTCTCAGTAACTCTTTTTTTACCTGACTTCTGACTACTATGCTAACCTGATACTTTTATGCTAGAAGATATTTCATATAGTTAGTTATGGTCCATTTGAAAGACCATTGATAGGTTGTTACTAGGCATGGCCAAAAATACTCTCATCAATGAGGCAATGTCATCAGAAATTTTTAAGGGTAGAAATACTGATCATGTTCTGTGCAATGTTAGAGAGGTATTATTCAGGAGAGGGCAACTCAATGAAGTTTACTTGGAAAGTAGCAGTGGTGTATTCGAAAACCTCTAAGAGAAATAGCTGGCAAAAGGAACTGCCACATACACAGGTAGGTTACTTTACTGTCATTGGGGCCGAATATAGGGCAACCAGAAACCTTCCTGCCACCCTTACTACATGGTCTGAACATTATGTTTCTTTGTCAGTAGAAACAAAACACTGCCCATTTAACTAATAGGAATGCCTGAATTAAGAGTCACTGATTGGCTGGCTGAGAGGCTAAGTTGGAAACAATTTCACACTGAGTCCTCAACTTATACAGGTTCCACCTGAAAGGCTTCCATAATCTTAAATTACACTTTCTTTTCAGAAACACAATGCGTGATCATAGAATTGTACTTCTATGTGGAAGACAGAAATTAAAGTGTTTCCTTTCCTAAAACATTGTGAACTATAATTTGGGAATGATCATAAGAGAAATTGAATTATTTTAGGAAACATCATCTTTTGCTCCTGTAGTCCTAAGATGACTGTAAAGATCTCTCTAAGGACCATTCTTGGTTAATTGGTGGGGTTTCTATAGGGATTACTATATTTATAGTGTGTATTTTATAGGAAGTAATCCCTACAATGGAAGTCATGTAATTGGACTTTAAATGCTGTACTGAACAAACTAAATGTATTTGGTTCCATCTCTGTCACAAAAATTAGAATGGACAATAAAGTGGCGTACTCAAAAAATTATCCAGAAGTAAAGACAGTGTAGAAAGAAAAAGTGAATATTTTGGGGAGAAAATTTTCAGTGGGCCTCTCTTGTGTCTGCTGCTTTGCAAGTAAGGAACCAGCTGCATTTTGTTCTGGGAAATCTTTATAAGAATGTTCGTGTAGGGATGTAGGGAACTGCCTAGGAAGATAGTGTCTCCTTCAGGAACAAAGAAAACATTTGCTTACAGCTTGGAAGATAAGAGATCATCTATCCCTTTGGAATAAAGAGCAGAAATATTTACACACGAAATATTCAGATTGCCTAAAATCATAATTCCTTTTATTTAAAAATTCCCCTCTGCATCGGCATGTGTCTGCTGGATCTCCTTCCAATCATTCTATACAACCCCTGATACTCAGGTTTTTGCTCTCACTGGGAGTAAAAATATTTCCTTCTGTCTCTGACCAAGGAATCTTATATCTTCTACCAGGATCCATGAAATTTTGGCAGGCATAAGTGTTTGTTGCAAATAGTGCAAAATCTCAGATTATTCCAGATCGGTACAACTAAAAATTCCATCTGGATAATTCAGATAAAAAATGGCACCCTTTCACCATGACACGCCATTGTCTCAATTGACCAATATACAACTACAGTTACCATTAAGTTCATGATTTATAGGCTATAAGTTAATAGATTAATTGGATAATTATCGTAATTGAACATTATACCACTGGCAATGGCAACAGCTTTCTTAAACCATCACACAGAAAGAACTATTGGTATTCTAAATAGTATGCAACAAATATATTTAAAAGGTAGGATTGCTAGAGGTACAGAAGCTGATGATGATTAATGGAAACACTACAGTAAGTCTCAGGGCAGAACATCTCTGAAAAATGTAGTCTTCATATTTAATATAGAATTAGCTGATTAACATAATTAAAAATGGAATTTGACTTTCTGTAGCAACTGGCTGGCAGTGGATAGAGGAAGAAAAAACATCATCAAGTTGTTGTGATAGGAGTGGATGAATAGTGACCAACATGACACCTGGAAATCAGTATCTATGGAATCCTGTAGAAGATACCTGAAATATGCTTACATTCACAAACCAGTACAACCTAAACTTGCTGGTCAGTATCATGTGGTCAAAGGATCTGTCACTGGCAATATGCGGTACATGATCAAAGTTTACTTCTGCTGCAAAGAATTGAAGAACGGTACTGTAATTTTAATTGATGTATGGCATGTAAAACATTGCTTTGCTTTCTGCTACATGTGTGTTATAACCAAAAGGTTATAATTTTATTGTCAAAATTAAATGTAATTCAGACTTATGTACAGCATGAACCATAGAATGAGTGAATATTTCTGGAAGCTTATTTAAAGCCTCTAATTAATGTAATACTTATGAAGAGTTACTGGCTAGAAAAAGACATTTGGCTTTTAAAATACCACATGCCCTATTATAATCTTACAAATATTCAAATGCCTATGAATAAAAACAAAAAAAATTGAGCTAGAAATACACAATTAAAAGGCCTTAGAAGGAACACAGTTATTAATAAAAATATTACAGCAATAACTCCTGAACCCCATTTTATGTTTCAAGTCCAGATGGTCATTGAGGTGTGAAGTATCTTTTTTTGAATAAAATTTTGAGGAAATTTTAAGACACATTAAAAACACAACCAAGACATATGTGTCAAAGAGATACTGACAGAGCTTAGAAAGTGTCTCCAGAAGAAAAGAGTTATCCAGAGACCTATAATCCATTCCGATCAAATCTCCTGAAAGATATGCTAGTAAAAGAGATTTAATAAATATACTATTTACTAATAGAATGTAGATTATTTGACTAGAAGTTCTTATGACAAACTTGTAATCCATAGATTTTGGAGACAAGGGAATATAGCTTCCTGTAACATGTCATGAAAGCTTTGGTATGTAAAATAAGCTTTTTTCTTGATGAAAATGGCTTTCTTTTATGTAAACAATAATAACATCTAGCACTTAGGAAACTCATATATCATATACAGCTGGACATCACTGTTTCCTAATGAGGCTGGAAGGAAAATAGGAAAAAATATCTGTAGCTCTAGACTTGCCATTTCACCTGTGCTTCACAACTACTTCTACTTTGAAAGTAATATTAAAGTTTGATATTGGGTAAGATCTGAGATTCCTGTATCTGACTTGATGATATGATATTTTCTGTTATCTCAATATACATACATCTCAATGTATAATTTTTTGAAAGGCATACACGTTACCTGAATGATACAAGTTTCCATTGGAGTTTTGTTTCATTGTGTTTTGTTTTTTATCAAGGGAAAATAAAGAGGGAGAAATAAACTGTCATTACTCAAGGAGAGCATGCACAATACAACTTTCCAGCTCTAATTCCAAAGTTTGATTTCTCTTATTTGAAGCTCGTGATATTTTGTTTGCTCAAAAATGGGAAGGATGGGGTGGTTAACAGACTTCTTGTTGGAATTATTTAACAGACTTATGTAATTTCCTGAGTCTGTTTTCTTTTCCATGTTTCAATTGTGTGATGGGAAAGTGAGTCATTTTTCTAAGGACTAAAATACAATATAAGAATAAACTTTATAAACCCAAAGAGTTTGAAGACAAGAATATCTGACCAAAAATAGACACATTTCCCCTTCATTGTTGTCATCTGCAAACACCCAAGACATTTTTCTACTTATGAGGTTCTTGAGTCTTGGTTCACACTATTTCTTTCTATCCCTTTTCCTCCATGAGATCCATATCCATATGGAAAATTTGCCCATAATTCTGGTCTCCAAATTTGTGTAGCCCATCAACAAAATTATACTTTATTTTCCACCTTTATCCCCCAATCTCATAGACAAACTTTTCAACCTGTCAGTATAATAAATAGCATAATTTCTGAAATATCTAATTCAAGTATCCTGTGATTTGAAACACCCTCCTATATTTCTTGTTCACTTAAGTGGTAACACTTTCAAAATCTCTATCATTCCAAGACACTAAAAGTTTTAAAAGAAAATGGTGCTTTCATAGATTTGGTGCTAAAACTCACTTTGTGGTAAAACCTGACATGATTGACTTCATTCATCACGTTTTTATGGTCATTATTTTTCTTATTTGATGTGACTATGCATTTGTTCAGAGCAGAAAAAGAATCATATTTAATTAGCAGGTTCTTCTCCAATCCTTCTTGGAGATGTTCCATAAAAAACTTAATTATTTAAGTCTAAATCATGCTGAATTATGAAACAAATTTGGTTCCAAGGATTTCAGACAAGTGATTGTATACCAGGAATACAATATTTATTTGAACTCGCCAAGACTTAAAATCCTGCGTTCAGCTACTTTTTATCTTATTATCACCATACATCATCTTTCATGCCTCCTGTTTAGAATAACAAGTCCATCATTACAAGAAAAAGTTGCAAACACAAGGAATGTTTTCTTCTCTTATTAACAAAACAAAACAGATAACTTGTCTGTGTTTTTCCTGGGTGCATCTCTGCAGTTGAAATATCATGACCACCAGTCCTCTTTAAATTCATCTCAAGAGAGGAAACCACAGACACTCAGCTTGCCTTCTAGCAATGGTAAATTCCTTAAGCTAAGTGTTTCCTAATTGCTTTATTCTCCTTTGAACTCACTCAGTTTCTCTCCTGTTGCTCATGATGGATAATCAGATGTGCTTACCTCCACCGATTTATTATCCAGCCAATTGAAAGGCTCAAATAGAAAATGTCATGCTTCTCCCCGACCAAACCATGAATTTTGTCTTCAGTTCCTCACTCTCATTCAATTTCAATTTTTTAACAATGCATAATAACCTGAAATTCTCCTACTTACTTGTTAATTTGACTGTTGTCTGTCTTCATTACAGCTGGATTAGAAACTACAATAAAGAAAAAAAAAAAAAAAGTTTCAGCCTTATTCCTTCTGAAGTTTCCAGGTCTAGAATAGTTCTTGTAACAGAGTAGGTGCTTAATTTAATAATATAATTTAACCTTAAAATCCTGTTTTATTACAATCTACTTAAAGTGGACTCCTAGTTGTGGGTGAATGAGTCTAATTTAAAATAAAGAGATAAAGTTTCTTTTTTTTTTTCTGTGCCAACAATCTTAAAATACAAATTTAAAACTGTGCCTTCAGTTTTGCTTCTCCTTAAATACAAAATTGGCGCTTGATAAAATAAGTTATATTTACTTTTCTTGGAAGCATTTCCGTTTGAATTATGTTGAATTACCTGAATCAACAGAGCATTTTCAAGATATAAAAATTTTAAAAAATTAGATGTATTTCTCATTGCCAGATTAAAATTCTCTTTATTACTTTAACACTTTATGAGCTTGTCAGGTATAGAATTTGGTTCTATCTGATCTGAAAGTTAATTACTGTTTATGTGAGAAAGTTGATTCACCTAATATTTCTTTGCACAAATTTGCTAGTTTTAGATTCGAGACTTCAAGTGTAAAAATAAAGTCGTTAAGTACATTAAGGACAATATGTTTTTCAAGGGTCCTTCCAGATGCTTGTTTTTGTGATTATATTCGTTAAAGAAGAAAGGAAAGAAACAAGAGAAGAAGAAAAAAATGAGAAGAAAGAGGAGAAAGAAAAGAAGAGTGAGCAGGAGGAAAGACGAAGTAGGTGCTAGAGAAACTAAAGGTGCATAGTCTCCAGCATTAGCTTGTGTACTGTAACACCACAATCATGAAGTTTTATCTCATAGCCTCTTTATATACTGCTGTTGGAATATATGAGCCTTTAAACACATTTTAGAAGGTTTTGTTAGCTCCCTAGATGCTGAATTAAGGGCCGGCACAATTTTGCATTGCATAAAACTGCCACCCAGGGCTCCAGATCCTTCTTTTAGTGTCCTTTTCCTCAGTCAGTGTCTCACATTTCCTGCTTATTCCCTCTCTCCCAGTACTTGACTGTGCTTATTACTGATTCACACTTTAGATTCAAAGTGGTTTTTTTTCCCATTCTCTTAACAAAACTGTGCTTTTCTCAATAACTGTAAGCCTTATACTAAGATAAAGCCTCGGAGTAAAGTTGTTCTAATTTCTTTGACCAAGCCTGGGGAAATGGAAGGAGAAAATAGAAAATTCAAAAGTTGCTCCCCCCCACCGCCCGATATAACCAGTTTCTTGACCAAAAAAATAGCAAGGTTGGGAATTCATATTTTTGCATAAGAAGCTATCATGCAATCAGGGATCATATAGAAAGTAAGCCGTTACAACACAGAATCGTATCTATTTCTTGGAACAAGAAATAGAAGAAACTGTAAAAGGGCACTGCAGATGGTCCCTTGTCAATTTCTAGCTACCAACAACCACGGCAGCAATTATAACATTTAAAATAGTGATTCCTTATAATTTACTCTATCATAGTAGTCTCCCCTGGAAGCACCCACACTTTTATCAGAACACAATAATTAGGCCTGCTTGGGCCTTTACCATATATTTCATTACACTTGAGTATACAATGCGTGAAGCACTCATCTGCCATCTTCACTGTAATGTGTGCTTTAACATCAGTGAGCATTTTTACCCTAAAGACAGTCAACATGTGTGTTTTGACTAAGTATCAAAACTTTTCTGAGTGTTTATCAGTTATCAGTTCTTCTCACAAATAATATTCTAAACAGTAAAACACCTGCCACAAAACATCTTGGACATTTGTAAAATTGCCCGAAGCTTAGGCTTACAAATTAAATAATAAAATCAGGCCTTGTAAATTACTGAGTACAAAGGCAGAGCGTGGGATTGTGGACAAATGTGATATTTTGAGCTATTATACCCTTTATATAAGTTCACCAACGTAATTTGATTTTACAAAGTAGGGATTTTATTGTTAGTAATGAATGAATTGACTCTCAGAGAGTTGACATCTAAATTGGAGTTCAATTCTTCAGATAACTTCCTGGAATAACCAATAGTAGTTCGAAGTAAAGTACTGAGACAAATTGAGATAAATTCATCAAAAGGAAAATAGATTGTAAACAACTAAAGTTACTTTAAGAACTTTGATTAGGACTACCAAAACAGAAGTTCAACATTCCTAAAATTGTAGGTTAAATTGTAAAGATTTGGTTGGTAAAATTATTTAAGCAGGACCAATAATTGGAGGAGTAATCAAAAATTATCTTTATCACTTCAGAATGATACTACAATGAGAGAATTTTCTAAAAAAATAAAAAAAACAAAAAAACATGGTGTCTGTGGCATCCATTCCTGTTTTGTGGTATTTTTATGTTAAATTCAGAGAGAAAACTGTCTTATAATGAAGACTGAAAAGCATAATCAGTGAAGATAAAATCTGTAAATGCATGGGTAAATCTAAACAATTGTTGACACAAAAACTGAAATGTCCTCACTGTATTGATGACTTTTAGATAAAATAAGAGTAGTGGATAATAAATTTTTGTTATTGAGAAATGTTTAAAGGTTTAAATATAGTGTGTTAAGGACATTGCATTATTTGAAAAGAAGTTGGATAAATTTACTTCAAATTTTAGTGAAATATAATTTTTAATAGCTATTTAGAGAAATTAAGTACAAAACTTCAAAATGATAGAAGAAACATGTAATCGGCATGTAGTATATATGACTGAAGAGAAAAAATAAAAACACTGAAATATAATATGGGGTAAATAAATCTTAACATATAATATTTCCATATTAATAAAAATGCTTAGAACTGAATAATAATGCAAACGTTACTGATATAGATTGTGGGATGCTGATCAAATGATACTTAGAAGAATATTTATCCTTTTAAAATCTTGTATATGAAAAAAATGTATTGCATTTAGTTACATTTGAACAGTATATAGGCTAAAATAATATGAAATAGGAATATCATTTGAAGAGATACAAGAATGATGCAAGGACCTTATAAATAGTTTATTGAAAAATTGCTGAAACAGGAAACAAATATTTAATAGAGATGAACAGCAAAGCCAAAAGACGGTTCTTTGAGTAGAAAAGAGCAGCGAACATTTGCGGCAGCAGTTTTATGTTGTCAATGTCAGGTTAGTTTTTGCTAATATTCCTTTGGAGTTCTATGTGATGTGATGAAAACATTTTATGTTCTTCCATTATTTGTGCTATATAATTTAGACTGACGTAATTCATCACTTTATATATTCTTCCCCTCTACACACCTTCTGAATCACGGTAGGTGGTAACTTTTCTTACCTTTTTATATTGTGGAGAGTACTCAAAAAAAAAAAAAAAAAAGATGGCTGGATCATAGGGCAGTTCTGTTTTTAATGTTTTGAGAAACCTCCATAATGACTGTACTAGTTTACATTTCTACCAACAGTGGGCAAGAGTTTGTTTTCAACACATCTTTACCAACACTTGTTATCTTTTGTCTTGTTTAATAATAACCAATGTGAGGTGATATATCTGATTATGGTTTTAATTTGCATTTCCTTGATTAGTAATGTTGAGAATTTTTTCTTATTCCTCCTGTATGTCTTCTAAAGGAAATAAAACGAATACGTTGAAGGGATACCTGCACACTCATATTCATGGCAGCATTATTCACAATAGCCAAGATATTAAATCAGTCTAAGCATCCAAGAAGGAAATCCCATCATTTTTGGCAACATGGATTAATCTGGAAAACCTTATATTAAGTTAAATAAGCCAGCCATAGAAAGACACATACCACAAGATCTCACTTAAATGTGGAATCTAAAAAAGTCAAACTCACAGAAGCAGAAGTAGAACTGGTGGTTAAAAGGGAGTTGGCCAATGGGTGGGTGGGTGGTTGGGGCAGACTGAGGAGATGAAGGTCAAAGAATACAAATTTTCACTTAGGCAGAAATAATAAGTTTAAGAGAGCTATTGTACAACATGGAAGCTATAGTTAATAACAATGGATCAGGTACTCAAAAATAACTAACAGAGTTAATGTTAAATGTTCTCACCACAAAAACATAATAAGTATTTGAGGTAATGCCTGGCCTGTGATAATTAGTTTGATTTGGTCCTTCCACAATGTATGTATGTAT